>NC_000024.10:5141586-5441996 GCF_000001405.40 Homo sapiens
CAGAGCCCTCAGAAATAATGCCGCATATCTACAACTATCTGATCTTTGACAAACCTGAGAAAAACAAGCAATGGGGAAAGGATTCCCTATTTAATAAATGGTGCTGGGAAAACTGGCTAGCCATATGTAGAAAGCTGAAACTGGATCCCTTCCTTACACCTTATACAAAAATCAATTCAAGATGGATTAAAGATTTAAACGTTAGACCTAAAACCATAAAAACCCTAGAAGAAAACCTAGGCATTACCATTCAGGACATAGGCGTGGGCAAGGACTTCATGTCCAAAATACCAAAAGCAATGGCAACAAAAGCCAAAATTGACAAATGGGATCTAATGAAACTAAAGAGCTTCTGCACAGCAAAAGAAACTACCATCAGAGAGAACAGGCAACCTACAACATGGGAGAAAATTTTCGCAACCTACTCATCTGACAAAGGGCTAATATCCAGAATCTACAATGAACTCAAACAAATTTACAAGAAAAAAACAACCCCATCAAAAAGTGGGCGAAGGACATGAACAGACACTTCTCAAAAGAAGACATTTATGCAGCCAAAAAACACATGAAGAAATGCTCATCATCACTGGCCATCAGAGAAATGCAAATCAAAACCACTATGAGATATCATCTCACACCAGTTAGAATGGCAATCACTAAAAAGTCAGGAAATCAAACTGATTTTTATGGGTTTGTGTGTGCAGTTTTTAAAAAAAATTTATGAGCACATGATAAATGCCTACTAAAACAAACACTGGTGTTCTAGCTCTCTCTCTCTCTTTTCAAATATCATGAAGAATTGTCCACAGAATAGCATTTAGGATGGTGTAGACTTAAGAGGGAAATGCATGTACCATCAGTACTTTTCCTTGGGCAGTCTAGCTAGGATGTCACCCACAGGAGGGGATACAAGCCTTGCAGGACATGTTAAAAAATTAAGACTATAAAATTAAGGAATACAAAGGAACACATTACTATTCAATTCAGTAGGGATCTGTAATTCTGCACTGCTCAGGTGCAGATGAAAACTACTCAGGTCAGAATCAAGTTGTTTCTGTAAGAGACAGCTCTATAAATAATGAGCTGTTTGTTTCTATGAGAGATAGCCCTATAAATAATGAGCTGTTCTCAGGTGAGCCAATCATTACCAATTGCCTGTTTAAAATGTCAGAATTGTCAAGGTCAATTGGTGTTAATCTAATGGCAGCACTGACCTAGTGTCACACAGAGTCTATAAATTAAATTTTAAGTCTCACAAAAGGATTATCTTTGTTTCTAGAGACAATATTTGAATCAACAATGTTTTGGGTACTTCCGTGAAAGTGATGTGGGTGGATTGAAGTTTAAAAGGTGTAGACAATTGTCCATTAAAGCAATTACATTAATGCATCAGGCTGATTTGAAATCAGTATTGAGGTAGAGTCAGAATATTTGCATATTTTTTTCTTTGTCATAACATCCTCACCAAAGCTTTTGGAAATTGCTGTTTTCAATGCACTTCTCACTCCACAGCCAGGACATAAAGAGTGACGGGGAAAAAGAGAACCTTATCAGGAAGAGAAAGAAATAACCATTAGAAAGTTGTTCAAAATATATTATTTCATGAAATTGTCTTTCTTCTGTAACTTGTCTGTTTCCATATCTCCTTGTCACATTCTTAGGTATTTCAGTAATAAAAAAATTATCTGGATAAAAAAAGAAAGTAAAAAAAATGAAGTTTAGGTTTGATAAAAATTACTTTTATGAGTTAAAAGAACAAAGTATATTTCCTCTAAAAGAAGTTGATTACCGACTCCTTGTAACTTTTCATAAATTAACGTTCAGATATTTTTCAAATAAATAACTGATGGGAACTCAGCTTGTTGAAAATTTGCTTGGTTACACATTCAACAAACCTGATGGACAGTTTTGATTATTTTTGCCCTTTACAGAGTAAGTGTGAAATAACACTAATTAAAAGCTTTTCTACTGAATAATCCATGTGCATCACCTTCCAAAATTTCACTTAAGGGGCCTACACATTGACAAAAACACATTTTATTCCCTTTGCTTAATTTCATTAGTGGGACTTTTCTTTGACTTTGTGGGAACATTTAGATTTTTCTCCAGAGCATGTTAGAGCTCAGAACGATTAGCAGAGCATTTGAAGTAACCACAGCTCAGGGATAATGGGAATGAGCCCTATAGCACTGTGTAAGCACTGGGACCATTTATAGATGTTCTGTGCAATGGTGGATAAAATAGGGCCACACTATACTGTTCCAGAAGCATTTTCTCTAGAGCCTTCTATAAGTCCCTTCTATGCTAAATAATTCAAACATGCATTTTGCATTCAGTAAACAATTGAAAACACAAGGAAATGAAGCTTTAAAAAGGAGTTGTGCTCAGTCAGTATATTGCTTTCAACTTTGAAAGAAGGCAAATATATAAAATGATCCTGAATTGCCTACTCAATTTCTAGCAGTAAGAGTAAAGCAGAGAAATCTCATTCTACTCCACCTATCCCCCTCTCACCAAAATCAAGAATTGTGTCTTTATTGTTGTTATAATTTGCTTCATAATGTTTTCTTGACAATTGAGACATTGTATACTGCATTAATTATTTACATTTTGTATGAACATTAAAATAATGAGAACATATATTTGTTTAGAAAAAAATCCCTCTATTTTTTCTCTCATAAATATAATTCTACTGTTATGTTAGTATGTTCATAATTTGAGAAATTCTAAGTCTTAAGAAATCTTGGAATTGTATGAATTCTCTTTTACCTACTCATTAGCAGACTCATAATTTTAGAAATCTTAATTGAGATCCATGTGCCAGTTATACTAATTAGTGTATAATTTCATAATCTGAGTACTTACAGAAAGCACACTCTTGAAAAACTCTGTATCTACAAATGCTTTTGACTATATGGATTTCCAGAGTCAAAATATTATTCAAAAAAGTAATAATAACATTTACCACAAAGCTTCCAATGATGGTTCATCTGTGGGTGAATTTCCCATTTACAACTTTGCTCCCAGAGCACTCAGAAATATTTTACCCCTTTTCATTTTTTTAAACTAGACTTTATTTTTTACAGAAGTCTTAGGTTCACAGCAAAAATGAGAGGAAGTTATAGAGATTTCCCGTATCTTCTCTACCCTACACATGTGTAACCTCCCCCATTGTCAATATCCCCCACCAGAGTGACACATTTGTTATAGTTGATGAATTTACACATCAATATCACCCAAAGTCCATAGTTTACATTGGGGTTCGCTCTTGTATATTCTATGGGTTTGGAAAACATTTAAAATAACAAGTATCAACAATTATAGTATCTATAGAGTAGTTTCTCTGCCATAAAAATCCTCCATTCTCTGCTTGTTCATCCCTCCTTCCCCTATTCCACAACCCCTGGCAACCACTGATATTTCTACTGTCTCCATAGTTTTACCTTTTCCAGAATGTCATATAGTTAGAATCATACAGTATGTAGCCATTTCCAATTAACTTATTGTACCTAGTAATACAGATTTAAGGCTCCTCCACGTCTTTTCATGGCTTGATAGATCATTTTTTTTTAGCAATGAATAATCATTTCTGAATCTACCACAGTTTATTTATTCATTAACCTACTGAAGGATATCTTGGTTACATTCAAATTTTGGCATTTATGAATAAAGCTGCTATAAATATCTGCTTGCTGGTTTTGTGTAAACATAAGTTTTAAGCTCCTTTGGGTAAATACTAAAGAATGTGATTGCTGAGCCTTATGGTTAATAGTATATTTAGTTTTGTGAAAAACTGCCAAACTGTCTTCCAAAGTGGCTATAGATTCTCTTTCATTGGGAAGATGGCAATACATAATATCTAAGTCATTTTACGACTCAGTGTTTTCTATCATATAGGAATGACCTTTACTTTAGTTAGTATTTGGCATTACATATGCATGTATAAAATGTATAGTTTTTAAAAGAGTGTTTGTTCCTTAATATAGTTAGTAGTTATGAAATGAGTCAAGATCTGTTATTGCTAATGTTGGCAATATATTTTTATTAAATTAGACATTTTGGATGGTTTTAAAATTATAACTCAGTAATAATAGCTAACCTGTATGTAGCACTTAACTTTGTGCCAGACACCATTCTATTGGCATATATCGTCTCACTTAGTTAATATTTTAAATTCTGTTTCTTCAGATTAGGAAACTGAAGTCTAGAGTAGTTAAATGACCTCTTGAAGATGACACAGTTAGTAAGTGGTAAAGCTGGGGTTTAAACACAGTCTGTCTAGCTCGAGTCCATACTCTACACTTTAAGACTATAGTAGTTGTGTTTAACAGGCTTTAGATCAGGGATCCCCAACTCCTGGGCCATGGACTGGTACTGGTCCCTGACCTGTTAGGAACTGGGGCCACACAGCAGGAGGTCAGTGGCGGGCAAAGAAGTGAAGCTTCATCTGTATTTACAACCACTCTCCATGGCTTTCATTACTGCCTGAGCTCTGCCTGCTGTCAGATCAGTGATGGTATTAGATTCTCATAGGAGCATAAACCCTATTGTGAACTGTGCATGCCAGGGATCTAGGTTGTGCGTTCCTTGTAATCTAATGCCTGATTATCTGAAGTGGAACAGTTTCATCCTGAAACCTACCTCTCTCCATGGAAAAATAGTCTTCCACAAAACCAGTCCCTGGTGCCACAAAAGCTGAGGACCCCTGCTTTCAATAACAGAATCTTAGGTCTCTATTATAAATGTCTTTCAGAGGTTAAATCACTTTTGCAGCATATAACCAACCCTTGGCAAAAGCAATTGATGTAAGATATCTCTTGCTAACTTTTAAGGCAAATTCAGATGACCTGTCATTTCACATGGACTCTACAAAAGCACAGCTTCTGGAGATTCTAAATCAAAAGATACAAGTTCTTGAATTAATAAAAATCAAAAACAAATTCATATTTTGTGGACATCAATGTAAAAAATATATACATACTGTGCTACAAATAATAATTAGCGCACTTCTAGTTATACGAAGGATAGCTGTATGTTAGGCATAATTATGACCTCATTATTGTTTATATTTGAAGATTATGTATGATTTCAAGAGATGTGTGTGGGTTCAAGTTGACAAGGGGTGGACGTGTGATGGTTAATATTGAGTGCCAACTTGATTGAAGGATGCAAAGTATTGTTTCTGGGTGTGTCTGTGAGGGTGTTGGCAAAGGAGATTAACATTTGGGTCAGTGGACTGGAAAAGGCAGACCCACCCTCAATCTGGGTGGGCACCATCTAATCAGCTGCCAGTGCAGCTAGGATAAAGCAGGCAGAGGAAGGTAGAGGGACTTGACTTGCTGAGTCTTCCAGGCTTCATCTTTCTCCTGTGCTGGATGCTTCCTGCTCTTGAATATCAGACTCCAAATTCTTTAGTTTTGGGACTCTTGGACTTACACCAGTGATTTGCCAGAGGGTCCTGGGCCTTGGGCCACAGACTGAAGGCTGCATTGTCGGCTTCCCTACTTTTGAGGTTTTGGAACTCGGACTGGCTTCCTTGCTCCTCAGCTTGCAGATGGCCCATCATGAGACTTCACCTTGTGATTGTGTGATTCATGTTTCCTAATAAACTTCCCTTCATATATACATATACCCTATTAGTTCTGTCCCTTTAGAGAACCCTAACTAATACAGACTCCCATTATCCTAAATGGATTAATGCAAGAATAGAAAACCAAATACCACATGTTCTCACTTATAAGTGGGAGCTAAACATTAAGTACACATAGACATAAAGATGGAAACAGTAGATACTGGAGACTACTAGAGTTGGGGGGGAGCTGCAAAACTACCAATTGAGTACTATGCTCACTAGCTGGGTGAGGGATCATTCATACCCCAAACCTTAGGATCACACAATATTCCCGTGTAACAAACCTGCACATGTACCCCCTGAATCTAAAATAAAATTTGAAATTATCAAAAAAACTCATAATAACAACAATAAAAAGAATAACTGCCTGCCAGAGATGCCCATGCCTTAATCCCTGGGACCTGTGAATATGATGCCTTAGATAGGAAAGGACATGGAAAGTCGCTAATCAGATGATATTGCAGTAAGTATATTATCCTGAATTACCCAAGTGAGTTCAATTTAATCACAAGTCTCCTTAAGTTTGGAAGAGGGAGGCATAACAGGAGATCATAGTGATGGGACATTAGAAGAACTGACCTGCTCTTATTGTCTTTGAAGATGGAAGAAAAGGGCTGTAATCCAAGGAATGTGAGTAGTCTCTAGAAACTGGAAATGGATTATTCCTTAGAAAGAAATATAGGCCTGCCAACATCTCCATTTTAGCCCAGCAAGACCCATTTTGGAACTCTGACCTCCAGCACTATAATAAAGATTTGTATTGCGTTAAGCCACTAGTTTGTAGTAATTTGTCACAATGGTGATAGGAAAGTAATACACGCACACACACACAAAACAAAATTTGGCTTTAATTGGAAACATTGTCTTTGTTAAATCAAGCCATATGCATAATTTATCTCTTGGCTAATTTTTGACTTTTAACCTATTTGAGCTCTCTCATCCTTGCATCTATCTAGAATCTATTACTGGCTTCGTTTTTTGTGGGACTTTACTTGGAATTCCAATTCTTCTTATTATAGGGAATAAGAAATTGAGTACCTTTTGTTTAGCTGGTTTAAGCACATTTCTTCCTCCTGGTCTCATCAGTAATTGTGTGTGTGTAGTAAGTAAGGCACAAAACTAGTATAGAAACATCTGAATGGCTGCTGGAAATATTTTTTTAAACATGCCACTTAGGGGCTTAAATACTAAGAAATATATTAGTATCCAGTTTTCAAGGAAATGGACCATTGAAGCTCAACTTGAAAGCAACATATGGCAGTCTCATCTTCATCATGGTTTGACATGTGTTAAAAAATTTTTGAAAAGAAACTACCAATATTAAGAATCAACTAGGCAAACATTATAAACATAAATACAGATGCTCCTCAACTTACAGTGGGGTTACATTATGATAAACCCACAGTAAATTAAAAATATTGTATGTAAAAAATGTACTTAATACATCTCACCTAACAACACATCATAGATTAACCTAGTCTGCCTTAAACCTGCTCAGAACAGTTACATTAGCCCATAGTTCAGCAAAATCATCCAATACAAAGCCTATTTTATTAAAAAAGTTTAATATATCATGTAATCTATTGACTATTGTGCTGAAAAACAGAAAGGTTGTATGGGTACTCAAAGTACGGTTTCTACTGAATGTGTATCAATTTGTGCCATTGTAAAGTAAAAAAAAATCCTAAATTGAACCATGGTAAGTCAGGGACTGCCTGTATTGAAAAGCTGACTTGGGAATAAACTACATTTTCATTGAAATATGAATGTATGATCTAGCAGTCTTTCTCTCCAATCATTTTTGAACCAAAACAGATTTCCCTATCTCACTAAAGTCATTATTTGAGGTCCCTTGTTGCCAGGCACTAGCTGTATAGAACATTGATTTTCAGAGAAAATGCTATGATAATTGAAGAATGTTAAAAAGCAGATAGATTGTTTCCAAATTTCTCAGTGAATAGTTTACCATTAAATTTGAATTTTATCATCATGTAGGATTTACTCATAGTTAATAATACTATTCCTTTTAAGAAGAAAGACTCTCAAGATTGAGAAAATATAGCTAGAGCTTGTGTGCAATGATTTCAGGCAGCACATGGCTTTAGAAGGCTTGAATTCTAAGTTAGTATGGCAGAGTTATCACATCATTGACTGATTTTTCCTTTCAATTCAAAGCATGTTGATAGGTTTTCTTTCTTGGTATAGAAGGGAGAGGAATCTCTTGATGACATATTATCTTAGTACTTTGTGCATTTTCTTGGTTGAGACACTTAGAAGACTGAGCAAATACTGTATAATCAGGGTTATATAGAAAAACAGAATCAACAGGATGTATGCATATATACACACACACAAACACACACACACACACACACACACACACACACACACATATATATATAGAAGGAGATTTATTATAAGAAATTAAAGCATAAGATTATGGAGGCTTGGTGAGTCCAAATTCTGCTGTGTGGGTCAGCAGAGTGGATAACCAAGAGAAACAATGATACTAATAAAATCTGTAGGCCATCTGCTGGAGAATTCCTTCTTGCACAAGAAGGCCGGTATGTTGGTTCTATTCAGGCCTTCAGTTGATTGGATGAGGCCCCCCCACATCATGGAAGGCAATCTGCTTTACCCAAAGTTCACTGATTTAAATGTTAATCATATGCAAAAACACCCTTCAAGTTGGTGCATAAATTAACCATCACATGATATTTTAGAAAACATCTCATACCGTTGTAGAGTTATCACTTCTTTTGATGAGGGTGCTATTTTATCCTGCCTTCTATGACTTTATTTTTAACTATTGTAGATTTTAAAAGCCTATTGTTATATCAGACAGCCAATTGATTGAAACTAAGTAAATACATTTTTCCCAAATATCTGTATATTCCATGTGTAATTCTTATTGTAATAGAATTTTTTGCAAATATTATATTTTTTGATTTGTATTTTTTAAACATTTTTAGTTCACACATAATTGTACATATTTATGGGTTACATAGTAACGTTGCAATACATATAATGTATAGTGATCAGATCAGGGTCATTAGCATATTTATAATCTCAAACAGTTATCATTTCTTTGTGTTGGGAACATTTAATATCCTCCTTCTAACTATTTGATATATTATCATTAACTATAGTCATCCTACAATGCTATAGAATACTAGAACTTATTCTTTCTTTCTAGCTGTAATTTTGTAACCTCTAACCAACCTCTTCTATCTCCCCTTCCCCTCTATGCTTCCTATCCTCTGGTAGACAATATTCTACTCTCTACTTCTATGAGATCAACTTTTTTAGCTTCTGCATCAAGAATGAAAGCAAGAACTGTTTTGACACACGGGAAATATAGTTTATTTAAAGCACACACTATCTAAATAATCTAGATAGATAATGTGCTAAATAATACACTCACATGCACACACACTCGCTTTATGTTTCCTGAATATGGATGTTCCTCAATAGAAGACAATATTTTTGTGAAATGCTCAGTAAAATAGTGAAAATGTAGTCAATATGATCGCAAGTTTTCATCATCAGCAGTTAGGGAACATGACAAATTCACCATCTAAGTGTCAAATACTTTTCTAAGTGCTTTACATGGGTTAACTCATTTAATTCTCATAATAACTATATGATATAGATTCCATTATCTTCCCCTTTTCATAAATGAGAAGACTGAGGAACAGAGCATTTAGATGATGTGTTCAAGGTCTCAGAACTAGTGAATGGTAAGGAATCCAGCCTTTTAGGCTTTAGAGACCATGCTCTTGGCAATTAAACTATAAAGCCTTTTAAAGGAGATTTTAAAAAATTCTTATAATGTGACTCAGTTGTAAACAACGTAAGTGATAGAGATTTTAGACTCACGGAGCTAGAAGAGCTTTCATGTCCAAATCTTTCACTTTATCAATGAGGAATCTTAGGAAACCAGAGCAGTAAAATGACTTTCTCTGCTTATGTAATGCATCTTTGATATCTATTGTAACTTTTCTGAGAAGTTCCCCCATTGCAGAAGGCAATGGCAGATAGGGAAGCAGGGGAGAAAAATCATTCTGAAAGAGGCAATGTAAGAGCTGCAGAATTTGTTTCCAGCTTCTGATCTATTACTTAATTTAGGTATTGGCTTAGACATGAACATGATTAAGCTTCATAATTCACAAGGGTGTGGAGGAGGAAGAATTGTACTCAGGGCCCCATTGTTTACTAGGGGATTTTTCACATTCAGCCCAGTGTTTAAAGGTAGATTTAGTCTAATTTATAGTCCAAATAAATGACCAGATAAAAGTACATGTTTTTCTCTGCACCTATTCCTCAGCTTAAAAAAGAGGTGAGACAGACACTTAGCCTGGAAATTAAGCTTCATGGTTTATTTTAGTGACTCCCCTTATCTGTACTACCAATGGCATGCTGTGAATATATTCTTGACTGCTGCACTTAGTAACACTTCTCTCACTATGTATATAAAAAAGACCAAGCTACTTATTTTGGGGTTTTGTAAAATGAACAACCTAATCAAACGTGGCTCTTGTGGATTTTATTCTTTGTGGGCACCCACAGTAAATATATAACTTTATATCATGCTGAAGATTATCATTTAGTCATATATATTATATAATGAGTGGTGCTTTGTATAGAGAAGATGCTAAAAATGCCCTGATTAAATTTATTAGGCATGATGAGATAGAAAAATACTTACTGTAAAACAAGAAACAAACTTGGAGCCTAAAAAACATTCAAATATTACTTTGAAAGAAAGGAAATAAGCATTTTATTATATTTACTAAACTTTAAGAGAAGTTTTTTAACAGAAGTTTTTCCAGACAGTACACTTTCGGATACCCTCAAATTACATTTCAACAATTAGTGGTTTGTTGTGTGAGCAAATTTCTTTATAGAGGGAAATTAATGGCTGGTATATCCTAGCTAAGGATGTAAATGTCATGGGTAAGTGTTCACAATGGATAATACATGCCCTGAAAATGATACAGATGGATTTTGATTTATTTTCAAGTGTTGTGATCTGATATAATATCCTTCTAATTCACATTATAAAGCATATTTTCAATGTATGATATTCACTGCTCTGGAATATCATAGAATTAATCAAATGCTGTGCATAGATAAAGGAAACAAATGAATTACTTAAGCTTGTGAACAAAGATCAAGTAGGAGCAAATGAATCAAATCCTTAAGTGTAGTGTGTATATATAAACATTTGTTTTCGTGTAGGTAATCCCGTATATATAGATGTCTTAGGAGCTTTGTAGAAGTGTTTCTGTAATATTTTAGAGACCTTAACAACTGTAACCTGAATCTGATAAAATGGTGCCTAGCTTAGATTATAATAAATATTGTTTGTTTTTTATGAATTATAAAATGAAGTAATAAATTTAAAGTCTGATAAATATCAATCCTATTTATCTGTTTTTTTCTGAAAAGTGAAATAATCTGCTATTCATATGTCTAGCAAAATTATTTCAACCATTTTGATCATTACTGTGAATTATTTAGTTTATATTGTTATAATTAACATATTATATTTACAGTCTACCTGATAGTCACATATACAGAGAGTCTAATGAGTAAGTAAAAGAGTACACAAGGTTTGCTGAGTTCTTACTATGTGCCAGGTACTAGTCTGAGCCCTTGAACATAACACAAGAGCCCTATGAAATACTTACATTTCTTTGTGTCTGTTATTCAGGTAAGGAAATCGAAGCCCAGAAATGCTAAGTAAATTGCCAAGATCACCAGCCTAGGAAGTAATGGAGCTAGGATTCAGGCCCAGACAGTCTAGCTCCAGGAATTTTGTTTTAACTATCATTACTGATTATCATGGCCACGTTGATTAGCAAAGCAGTAGCATTCTTACCAATACACTTATGAAAGATTGAGACATGCTATTAAAAGCAGTAATCTCAGGGAAATAATAAAATTAACTTCGTGGCAGATAAAATGCAAAGGAAGTGAAATAAGAATTAGCAAGTATAATGACTCCATTGTTCAATGAGATTCCAGCAGTCTTTAAGAAAAAATATGCAGTAAAGATTTAGTCAACTCTAGACACTTTGACTCTCAGAAATTTGGTGAGTTTTTAGAACTACTTGACTTCTATCAATGTTATGCAAATATATGACATGTTGGTGATTCTGTATTCTTCAGATACTAGGCAGGCTCATAAAAAGCCTCTACTGAGGAGAGTAGTGGAGTGATTTACTTAAAAAGAGCAGGCCTAAAATGACAGAAAGCAAATCGAAATCCATAAAGTAGTAAGAAACTACTTAACTATTATATAATTAGTGTTAGCATATATACAAGATCTCTCAGAATAAATTCAGGAACAGAAAGATAATAAAGAGAAATAAGCCCCAACAACAGAAATTTTGTAAGGCTCAAAGACTCATTAAAAGGTGTTAGATCTAGCCCAAATGTCCATAGATAGTTCTAAAACGTAGACTATTCACTGGACTAAAATGATAGAAAAAAATTGGTAGTAATAGGTAGAAATCTATTTTAAATATAAAAGACTACCAAAATTTGGAAGCATACCTGATAGTGGTGGTAAAATGCTGTCCATGTGTGTCTGTGTGCATGTGAGAAATATTAGTAAAAGAATAAAAGAAAAGGAAATCATCTCTCCTAAGACACTATGGAGAGATATATGGTATACAATTCTGTAAAGTAACAGATAAACCACGGCAGGAAGGGAAGATTTTTGGCAGAAAAGAGTAAGAGGAAAAAAAAAAAAAAAAGAGGTCCTCTCCAAATATATATATATACACGTATATATATACACATACATATACATATATACACATATATATACTTACTATATATTATTTTTGTTTCTTTCTCAGAAAAAAAAAAACTTTGAGGTACAACTTGTGACCATCAAAAGTGAGAAGTAGGGGATTAGCCCTTAGCTAGCAAATACAACAGAGCTGGTAGCCCTGTCACAAGCAGTAGCACATTTAGGACTTAGTTTTCCATATAATTCCCAATACAATGACAACTGTTGTGTTTACTTGGAAGTAGATTTGATGGCTTAATTTGGCCCTTGATGCTGGAACCAGACAACATGGTAAATAAGCTTTGAAAGTAGCCTAGTGTCAGAGTTGGTCATTAGAGTGGTTCATTCAATATGGTTATGGTGTTCAGACTTGAAATCTAAGCATAAAATATATATGTAGATGGGAAAATTCTGTAGCCACTCCTATGGTTAGTTTTAATAGATTAGATTTCTAAATATGTAAGATTTAAAAGCACCTGTAATCTTAGAGGGACTATTTCAAAACACTGTCCAGGCAAGGGAGCTGAGGTGAACTTTGTTTTGGGAAATTCATTACAGATAGTTTTGTTTTTTCATTTTTCTTTTCTTTTTCAATAAGCTTTAGTGGTGTGTGTGTGTGTGTGTGTGTGTTGTGTGCGTGTGTGTGTATATGATCATTAATTTTGAAATAACTGCCAACATTAGTTGGCTTGAAAGAAAACCTTTTTGAAAGTTTTTAGCTTGTTCCAATTTACTTTTATATAATAAGGGGCAGTAAAACTATTTGCATGTTGGTCTGGCAGAAAAAGAAATTATGAAAGGCAAATTAATTATGTTGAAAATAGTCTGCTAATGTACTATGAGTAATTGGTATTAACCTATGAGTGAAGTTTACACTGACAGATTTTATTTCATTAGAAGACAGCATTTTCTAATAAAATGAAATGAGCCATCTTATGAGGCAGGGAGATTTCCAGCACTAAAATTGAAAAAGCAAAGGATATGTGGACACTGACAGACTGCTCTATTGAAGGGCTTCAGGTGAAGGTTACACTACGTGAATTCTAAGTCCACTTCTACCTCTGTGTTTTATAATTTTAGGACTTATTTAAAAACTTCTAGATAAAAAGAAACACAGTATTTTAGATGTGCATTATCTGGTCTTTTGTCAGGAGTTGAGTTCAGAAAAAATGATTAAGATAATATTTTTTGGCTGATGAATGCAATTTAATCCTATAGAGAAGTCATATTTTAAGCAGTCAAACATTCTCTACTCAATAGAAAAATACGTCATTATACTTATATATATTTTTTCATCAACTTTTATTTTACGTTCCAGGGTACATGTGCAGGATGTGCAGCTTTGTTACATACGTACATATGTGCCATGGTGGTTTGCTGCACAGATCAACTCATTACCTAGGTATGAAGCCCAGGATCCATTAGCTATTCTTCCTGATGCTCTCCCTCACCCCACCCGCCCTCAAGAGGCCTCAGTGTGTGTTGTTCCCCGCTCCATGTATCCATGTGTTCTCATTGTTCAGCTCCCATTATAAGTGAGAACATGCAGTGTTTGATTTTCTGTTCCTGTATCAGTTGGCGGAGGATAACGGCTTCCAACTCCATCCACGTCCCTGCAAAGGACGCGATGTCATGTTTTTTTTTAATGGCTGCATAGTATTCCATGAATACACTATTATATCTTTTGATGGTCTGTTCTTGACCAAAGCTCAGCCACAGCTGTGGAACATTGTGTATGATTATGTGTATACGTTATTTCAAAAAAGAAAAAGACAAAAATGTCATGCCCCTTTTTGAGTTTTGGAAAGAGAAATGGTGAGAAAGAAAGGGGGAGAAAGGGAAAAGAGGTAGGAGGTGAGACAGGGGGAGAAGTTTGGAAGAAAAAGGGAGTGAAAATAGGAAGAGAGTACAGTAAAGATAAAGTGGAGAAACATGGGAAGAGGGAAAGGGGAGCAAGAGAGGGAAAATTCAAAAGAGAGGCCGAGAGAGAGAAAATGTGTTAAAGATGAAGAGAGGCAAACAGAGTCAGTAGTAGCAAGAGAGAAAAGGGGAGAAATGGAGGAAGAGAGCAGAGAGAACAAGAGAAGAGAGGGAAGAGAGGTATGAAGAAGTGGGCATGGTGTATGTGTCTGCATTGTGTGAGTGTGTGTGTGTGTGTGTGTGTGTGTGCGTGCCTGAGAAAGAGATAGAGGGAGAGAGCAAATTTCTAGACTTAACTGTGTACTGAAACATACTCATCCAGTACCTACTTAATAATCTGAAAACATTTTCATTAACATCTTACAGTCATCCTATGTTAAATTCATGAATACGTTACAAGTAGCATTTCCAATAAGAAGTGGAGATTACTGGCACTCTTGCTCCCACCCTTTTTACCCACAAATCTTAAACACATTTAAGTCTCTGGAATTACCCACCTTTAGTTAATTTTGATTCCTTTACCTTTGAATGAAAAATTTATCTTTTATGACCAAATACTGAAATGATGCATTACTGAAGATGTCATGAAAGAAAATGTAGCATGAAAAACATTTAACTTCTTGACTTCCTGAGTACCACTATTTGGATTATAAAAATATTTTAAGATAATCAAGGTGGGTCTATTTTGAAAATCTCTAACTAGTAAAAGCAGACCTATGTCTTGCAAAGCTTTTGCCACTTCCTAATGCCTCATTTGTGCCAGTTGAAAAACTGCAGTAATTAACAGGCCAAGCTGTATTCAGAAGATTCAGACACAGCCAGAGAAAACTGTCTCCTCCTTTGCTACTATCAGCCTCAGGAGAGAGAATGGGTTACTCATGGACCAGATCATCTTAAAGAAGAAGCAGTGAAATACCTTAGTAAAATATTAGAAACTCTTTTGATGTATAATATTACTTTACATTAGTGAATTTTTGTTGTCAGATAGGCAACTCAAATACCTACAATGCGTTTTTTCAACCTTCAAACACAATTTAGCACAGTTCTCTATGCAAATATTTGAAGATATTTCCACCCATGATGAATTTTAAAGAAAATTTATTTTACTAAGGAAAAGGAGCTCAGCTTTTATAGGAAAGATAACATTAATGTTTACTATAATCCTGACATATTTTGATGCATTTTTATCAAAATATTCGCTAGTTTATTTGTTTGTTGACAAAAATCCATGCATATTTATGAACTGCTTAGGTAGTAAGCAGTTATTCCTAAATTTGTCAGTGAATAACTATTGCTAAATGGGAAAGTTGGTGTGAAGAAATGAATATTTTAGGTGTCAGACATGCCTAAGCAAATTTCATTTTGTTTGCAATTAGTGTTTAATTCTTATCCTCAAAAATTTTCTAGTAAAAAAAGTAATAACAATCATAATGTGAACAATTAACAAAAATCACCCAAAATAGGGTTTCTAAATGGAGACATTCTTAATGGCCCTTTCGTTGAATGTGTTGAGTGTCTCTAAAGAGAAAGGGTGATAACAAAGTTGTGGTTAAGGATATGTCTCCATCCAAACAAAATGTTATAAGTTTGTTAATTAGGACAATAATAAAACTAACATCACAGATGCATTCTTTTCTTAAAACGTAGCTAAATATTTCACCTCAGCTATTGAAATCTTTTTTTCCTTTAAAAATGGGCTTTGTCTTTGTCTTTCTTTTAGCTGTTCCCTTTGTTAATTGTCCCTAACCATGGGAATGTTATTGTAGAAGAATTTCACGGCCCAAGCTATAAGAATCATTGATTAGTGGCATTCAAATTTTACCAGCACGAGGAGAAAGCTTAGTTCCTTTAGGCTTGGGTTGGAATAGCACCCATAATTAAAGATGTCTGTCAACCCTTGTTATGCTTCTAGTCTTAACATTTTTCCCCCCTGAACATAATTTGCTCTTTTGAAAGAATAGCTTTTTCTTGAGATTTATAGGTCACTCTTTGTTCCTTGCTAAAATCGGAAATTCTTGGCACAACACTCCGCTGTTAGCTAGATATTTTTTTCTGACTGTAGTGAGGTTTAAAGACATTAGTTCTGGGATACTTTCTGTGTGTCTCTCTTTAGGATACTCTAAAACAGACTAGGGGCACCTTATCCAATTCTTCAAAACTATATGGAAATAGTTTAAATTAGATTTTAAGTCAATATATGATTTTAAAATTCTACTTTGGAGTACCTTAATTCAATTAATTATTTACCCAAAATGCTACTAACTTTACTGGAACCATCAAATTGTTGTTGTTCATATACATTATATGGCAGCAATTCCAACTGAAGCTATCTTCACTGTTTTTCCTCAATGAAGACCTTTTGTTATTCTTCATTGAATTAAAGAAAGCTTGAGTTTTGTCTTTTCCTGCCTGAGAGTCCTAGATAAATTATAGAAATTAGACTGGAATCCCACTGTAGATATGTTACTGAGTTTAAACTGAAATAACTCTGTGTCTAAAATAAATCACCCAAAGCTGAACAGAAAAGTTATTGGACAATTAGAAGAACATTTAATTGTATAAGATGAAACTCAGCAAGCTGTAAGGCAATGTAATTAAATAGACACAGCTTAATGAAGATAAGGAATTTGAAAGGGAAATAAGTATTTTTCAATGTATGCTAATTCAGGTAGAAAATACCTCAGCAAGATGTGTTATCCCAATTATATGTCAAGCTTAGGAAATTCAAGTTTTAAAAAAAGCACTGTTTAAAAAGGAAATATGCAAGTGAGGAACAATATTGGAACATATTTTCAGTTTTTCATGGCTATAGAGATAACAAATGTCTTACTAGAGAAGACCCAGTACAACATGAAGACCCAGTTTTCATGGACAGCTAAATTATTTTCTTATAATTTGTAATTTTGTACAATTTCTTACACTTATATTTCCCAGCTTCTTATTGTCATTTATCTTAAAGTTAAATTATTTTTCCTAAAGAACATTCATTCCTGAATTTGTGTGTTATTTCATCTTATCAGCTTCAATTAATTTAACGATACACTTTTCAATCTCCATAGTGAATCAGTGCTGAGAATATCCACTAAACCTTGTCACACTTTTTGTTACTGTCCATTTTTTTAGAGAAACAGAAGTTTTGTAAACCAAAAAGTACCTGAGACAAGTCTCAATCAATTTAGAAAGTTTATTTTGCCGAGGTTAAGGCGGCCCCAATGACATAGACTCAGGAGGTCCTGATGCCACGTGCCAAGGTGGTTGGGTACCGCTTGATTTTATACATTTTAGGGAGACATAATACATAAATCAACGCATGTAAGATTTACATTGGTTCAATCTGGAAGGGTGGGAAAACTCAAAGCAGGGGCTTCCAGGCCATAGGTAGATTCAAACATATACTGATTGGCAATTGGTTGAAAGAGTTATTATCTATAGAAAGGAAAGTCTAGATATTATAAGCGCTTGTGAGGACCTAGGATTTCTCATGCAAATGAAGCCTCCAAGTAGCAGACTTTAGAGAGAATAGATTGTTGATGTTTCTTACCAGACTTAATGTATTGCTGTTAATGTTGGCAGGGTATAATGAAGCATGCCCAACACCCACTTGCCATAATGGGTTGAACCAGTCTTTCATGTTAAATTTTAGGGGGCTCTGGCTGAGGAGGGAGCCCATTCAGATGGTTGCAGGGGGCCTTTAAATTTTATTTTTGGTTTATAGTTTCTTTGTCCTATCCAGGTACCTTATGATCTTCAAGTTATGTACAATCCAGAGGGGGTGCGATATTTCAGCAAAATGGGGTCTTTTGGGGCAATATTTATCCTTAGTACCCCTCAATTAATGGTGCATAAAGAATTAGAAAGTAGTTGAACATAGAGTTAAATTGTAATTGGCAGTTCTGTGAGATGAAAATTTGATTTGCCTAAGTAATTTTAACCTTCTTAACATTTAGCTAATGTATACACCAAAAGATACACATTTGACCACTTGTAATTATCTCAAACCCTTACAACTTACAATCGTATTTTCATTCTTGACTTGCTCCTCTCTGAAACATACAGTTAGCTCTTTTTTGAAATCAAAACATTTATATAATATAATATATATAATATAATATAATATAATATAATATAATATAATATAATATAGTTGAGAATGGTTCCTTGCCTAAAATAATTTTTATCATTTGCTATTAACTTGAAGGTAATATTTGAAGGTGTTTGTTTATTTGTTTTTGTTTTTTGAGGGTCCTGAAAGGGATTATTTAAGTTTAGCTATAGGCAAAATATTTATATGATTTTAGCATGAAGCCATACATGAATAAAGCTTATTTCTTAGCTGCATCGATGTCATTAAGGAAATGATCGTAATTGAATGGGCTTAACACTTTACCTTTTCATTTTTTAAGAATATTCAATGAGGATGCTTATTATCTTCTCATTTTATTAGATTTACTATTAATTTAATAATTTTAAATATATGTTATTGTAATTATTTATATAATGATTTAAATAGTTTAATTCAAAGTTACAACTGGCAAAGGAATCCCTTTTATGAAACTATAATCACCTTTAAGGTTCTGGATTGATATGCTAGATACTTGATTAGGTAATTGCCACTTAATAGGAATCTATTTTCTTAAAACTATATACAGATTTTGTGAGTGAGGAGAGGTTTAGACTCTGACTTTTTTCATTCAACTGCCATATATATAATGAGAAGGAGGACAATAGTCTGAGCACTTTTTCTACGTCTATAGCTCAATATACATGACTATTATTTTCTTTTAAATAATAGTACACATCAGTACTATGTTGTTACAGTTTCGGGAATCTAGTCGAATTTACACAATTTTTTCTTACCTAATATATGGAATTATTTGCTTTGCTTTTGCTTATGTTTTCTAAAATAAGCCTATCTAAAGAGTAAAATCAGAATAATTTCCCATTGCATCAAACACAGGGACAAATATTAAATGCCCAAAGTTTATTCTTTATGAAAAAAGTAAAATATAAAGTTCAAATAAATGCAACAAAATGTACCCGGTATGCATATTGGCTGCTTGTGAAATGATTGCTACCAGTTTTACTAATTCATTTCTTCCAAATTCATGTGAATCTAAAAAAACTAATATAAGAAAATATATTTGGAAACTGTGTTTCTTTCAATAATCTATTCTGATATGCAGAGTTTTTACTGTATGGATAGGAAGAGTGATTAGATTTATTAACTAGGTCTCATTAGTTCAAAACATCATTACACTGTTTCTCTCTGTCTTTAGCGACTGTGTAGGATCTTCCTTTATTCATTGTATAATTTCAACATCTGGTACAGTTTCAGTAGTTTTTTCTCTTTTTTCTCAAATTTTAAAAATTAAGCTTAATGTCCTCATGCAAATATGACTTTTATAGCTCATACAATTGAATTAAATTCACTATGTGTGCCTATTTGTCTAATTAGGTCAATAAAGTCGCCATTAATTTTAGATTGTCCATCTGATATTATGCAATTCTTCTCACATTGAGAAAATCATCACTAGAATATTTCATGACAAAACAATACTGGTTCTTTTAAAAATGTGTGAGCTTCTATTTTGCATATACTTTCATACCATCTTTCCAAAAGAAAGGTAATAGCCATGAATAAATATTGTCTTGGATCTAAAGTTGCTACAACTTCCCTTTAATATCTGAAGACTGGAAGAATCAAAGTAGCCTGACACTTCTAAGTCAGAACATAAGTGTTTTCACAAGATACACCCTCAGAAGCATATTTGTGGTTTTTAAAAACTACTTGAACATTTTTACATCTGTCCAAGATGGAATAAGAGGGACTAGATTTATCCTACTTCTGAAACAACTAAAAGAGAGAGAGAATATATGAAATGACATCTGTCAAATTATGGACCTCAGGCAAAAAAGGACAGTGATCCCTGACAGACAGGAAACAAGTGAAGTAAACCTAAAATTTCCACAGCTCACAATCTTGAGGGAGTTGCCAGAACACAATGCAGAGAAAGATAATCCAGGTGGAGCCTGAATAACTTCCTGAGTTAAGGAGACAGAGATGGTTAGAATTTCTGGAGCAAAGTACTGAAGAGAAAAGAGCTAGACAGAGAGAATACCCTGGAGATCAGCACAGGGTCTCCCTTGGGTATTCATCAGCTTGTTGATCAGTGTATTTGTGAGGGAAACATCTGAAGTCACTGTGAAAAAGCCATCCAGTAGTATTACAGAATAATGCCTGGTTCTTATACATGGCTAGAAATAGTGCCTGTTTCTACTAGTCAGACTGGAAAAAAAATTATGTTTCTAAGGCACTGAACAGAGTACTCCAAAAGGTCTTTCTCAGTAGTGGGACATAATTAGCCCCTAGATGAAGCATAACTCTGCATCTACTAACAAATAACAAAAAGAAGGCCTGAAAGAATCAAACTTTTGAAGTAACTTATATTCATTCCAGATAAAATCTTGATCATATTTATAAAAATAGAAAAATATCTGGAAGCCAACACAGTGAATTTCACAATGAATGACATAGAAGCAAAGATTAGTGAACATACTAATAAGCAGGGAATCATAAGCTATAATGAGTAGAATAATCAACAGAAACTGAGAGCTGACACAAATATTAGGATTAGCATATAATAGCATCTTAAAATGTTATTGTAATTGTGTTTTCTATGTTCAAAATGTTGAGTAGAGATACATAAGATATTAAAAAGACTCAAATCAAACTTCCAGAAATGCCAGCCAAAATGTATGAGAGGTAAAAATGCACAGGATGGAATTCATGTTAGAGTAGACATGCAAGAAGAAAAGATCAGTGAATATGAAGACATAGCAATACAAACTATTCAAAATGAAATACAGAATAATGACTTTTTAAAATGACAACAAAAGTAACTGAGCTCTGGGACAATTTCAAGTAGCTTTATTTATGTGGAACTAGAGTCTAAGAAGGAGAGGAGGTGTGAGACAGGCAGAAAAAAATATTTGAGTTAATAATGGCAAAAATTTTCCAAATTTAATGACGGCTCTGAACTCATCAAGTCAAGAAGGTTAATGAATCCAAGCACAAGAAACATGAAGAAAACTGCACCCATTACAGCTCATAATAATCAAATTGCTCAAACTCAATGATAAAGAAAAAAAAATGTAACGCAGCCAGAGAAACAAGACACACTATGTAGAGAGAAACAAAGATGACAGCAGAATTCTTGTCTGAAACAATGCAAGTAAAAAGACAGTGGAGGGCTGTCTTTAAAGTGCTGAAAGAAAAAAAAAAGTCTACCTAGAATTTTATATCCAATGAAAATATCTTTCAAAACTGAGGGCAAAATAAAGATATTTCCAACATACAAAAGTTGAAAGAATTTATCACCAGCCCACGGAAATGCTGAAGTCCATCAGGCAGGGAAAAATAAAATGCCAGATGGAAATGTGGACATACAAAAACAAAGAATAACACTACAAATGATCACTACAGGGTAAATATACAAGCTAGTTTTTGTATCATTAAACTCTCTGATATAGTTTGGATGTGTGCCCTGCCTAAACCTAATACTGAAATATAATTCCCAGTTTTGGAGGTGGGCCTGGTGGGAGGTGATTGGATTATGGGAGTGGATTTCTCGTGAGTGGTTTACCACCATCCCCCTTGTTATTGTCCTTGTGATAATGAGTGAGTTCTCATTAGATCTGATCATTTAAAAGTATGCAGCCCTTCCCCCATGCCTCTCTTGCTCCTGCTTCAACTTCCGCCATGATTGTAAGCCTCCAGATGCCTACTCCAGAGCAGATGCTGATGTTATACTTCCTGTACAGCCTGCAGAACCATAAGCCAATTAAAGATCTTATTTTCTTTTAAATTACCCAGTTTCAGGTATTTATAGTAACGCAAGAACAGCCTTAACACACTGTATTATAAAATAACTTAGCTATTTATAAAACATTAATGACAATATATTGGAGTTTATAACATATATAAGTAAAATGTATTTCAATAATAGCACAAAAGTTTGGAAGAGGAGATATAGAAGTCTGTGTGTGCATGGGCGCACATGCGCATGTATACACACACAGGCACACAAACATATATATGTATTGTTTTTGAAAACAGGATCTCACTCTGTTGCCTAGTCTGGAGGGCCATGGCTGAGTCATGGCTCACTGCAGCCTCACCCTCCTGAGACCAAATGATCTCCTGGCTCAGACTCCCAAGTAACTAGGACTAAGGGTTACCACACATGGCTAATAGAATTTTTTTTTTTTTGTAGAGATAAGGTCTCATTATGTTGCCCAGGTTGGTCTCAGACTCCTGAGCTCAACTGATACTCTTGCCTCAGCCTCCCAAAGTGTTGGAATTATAGGTGTGAGCCACTGCGCCTGGTCAGAAGTATATTATTGCAATGTTTTTATAATATACGTGATGTAGGATAATATAGTCTGAAGGCAGTCTGTGATAAGTTAAAGGTATATACTATTAGTAGTAAAGCAACCACTAAAATGAAAAAGTTGTATCTAAAAAGACAACAGAAATAAAATTTGATTATAAAAAATATTCAATCTACTGTAGTCACTAATAACTTAATTGTGCATTTTAAAATAACTTAAGGAGTATAATTGGATTGTTTGTAATTCAAAGGATAAATGCTCACGGGGATGGATACCCCACCTTCAGAAAAGAAGGCAGAGAAAGAAGAAAACAGGAAAGACATAGGACAAACAAAAAAACAAATAGCAAGAAAATGGGAAAGACATAGGACAAACAAAAAAAAAATTCTTACAAACAACCAGTAACACCTTTAAATATAAACAGTGTAAACACCTCAATTAAAATGCAGATCATCAGGTTTGATAAAAATAGACAAGATTTTAATGTAGGCTCTCTACAAAAATTCACTTTAATTCTGAAAACACATCTTAAATTATACATTATGTAAACAATAGTTAAAAGAAGTGGAAATGGCTATTTAATATCAGAAAAATAGATTTCAGAGTAAATAATACTAATAGAGATCAAGCAAGATAGTTCATAATGTTAAAGGCATGCATTCATCAAGAGGATATACTCATTATTCATGTTCGTGCAACTAATAAAAGAACCTTAAAATACATGAAGTAAAAACTGGTAGAACTGCAGGGAAAAGTAGAAGGATTAACAATTTTGGTTGGGAATTTCAATATTCTTTCATCAACTGATTCAACAAGTTTTGTGATCAGAGAGGACATAATAGACTGGATTGCCACTGTCAACTAACTTGACCTAATTGACATTTATTGAACATTCCACTCAATGATAGCCGAATACGTTCTTTGCAAGTGCACATAGAGAATCTACTAAGATACACTCCATTCTGGACTATAAAATGTTTCAATAAATTTAAAAGAATTCATGTTATAGAAAGTATGTTCAGTAACCTCAATGGAATTCAACTGTATATCAATAAGGGAAATATACCTGGAAACATCTCCAAATAATTAAAAACTAAATAGCACATTTTTAAATAAATTATTGGTACCAAAATAAAACATTTTGAACTGAATGGAAATGGAAAAATCAGTTTGTCAGAATTTCCGTGATGCTACTAAACCAGGAAATAGGGGGAAATTTATAGTGCTTTTATTAGAAGCAATGACCTCAGTCTTAATTTATTAGAAAAGAAAAAAAAGGAAAAGAATCAAGGACCTCAGGCTTAATATTAAGCAACTGGAAGAAGAAGAACAAGTTAAACACAAAGGAATCACACACAAAAACAATAGCGCTCAAAGCCAAAACCAGTGAAATTATAAACAGAAAAAGCAAGAGAAAATCAGTCAACCCAAAGGTTCATTGTCTTTGAAAAAATCAGTAAAATTATAACTGATAAATCTCTAGCCAGACATAAGAAGAGAAGATGCAACTTTGTAATATCAACAATGAGAGAAGTGACATCACTACAGATTAGAAAGACATTAAAAGAAGAAAGACGAAATATTTTGAACAACCTTATGCATATAAATTTGACAACTTTGATGAAATATACAAATTACTCGAAAAATGCAAACAACCAAAGTTCACTAAAGGAGAAATAGATAAGCTGATTAGTCCTATATCTATTAAGGAAATGGAATTCCTTGTTTAAAACCTTCCCACAAAGGCGACGGCAAGCCCATATGGCTTCACTTGTCAATTCTACTAAGTGTTTAAAGGAAATATAACACTAATTCCATAAAAAATTTTTCTGATAGTTAAAGTGGAGAGAATACCTCCCAGTTCCTTCTATCAGGCCAGCATTGCCCTGATAAAGAAACTAAACAAAACTAAAAATCCAAAAGAAAAAAAGAAAACTAAAGATCAACATCCTTAATGAATATAGATATAAAATTCTAAACAAAATTGTATCAGTCAAATCCAACATGATATACGTCATTTGCAAGTGATGTTTATTCTAGGATGCAAGGATGGTTTAGCTCTTTAAAATCTATCAATATTATTCAGTGCTTAAAAGAAATGATATATCAAGCCATGAAAAGACATGGAGGAAACATAAATGTGTATTACTAAGTGAAAGAAGTCAATCTGAAAATGCTACTTACTGTATGATTTCAACTAGATGACATTCTGGAAAAAGCAAAGTAAAAAGATTAATTGTTGCCAGGGGTTGTGAGGGGTCTGGAGTTGGAGTGGGGAGGATAAACAGTTGGAACATGGAGGATTTTCAAGGCAGTGGAACTACTCTGTATGATACTATAATGGTGGAAACATTTCATTGTACATTTGTCTAAACCCATAAAATGTACACCAAGTGTGAACCCAAATGCAAACTATGAACTTTAGCTAATAATGATGTGTCAGTGTAGGTTCATCAATTGTAACAAATGTACCACTTTGGTGGGGGCTATTAACACGTAAGAAACGATGCATGTGTGGAGTAGACAGTATACGAAAAATCTCTGTACCTTCCTCTCAATTTTGCTGTGATCCTAAAATTGCTCTAAAAAATAAAGTCTATTAAAACAAATCAATTAATATATTTTACCATATTAAGAAAACTGAAAAAGGAAAAGCACGTGATCATCACAGCAAATATAAGAAAAATATTTGACAAAATTTATCATCCGGTCCTTATAAAAATTCTTAGTAACATACAAATAGAAAAGAACTTCCACAACTTAAGATAGAACATCCATGTAAAACCTACAGCTAACGTCATAATAATGGTGAAAAACAGAATGCTTTCCCCCTGAATATCAAAAGCAAGATATGCAATTATTAGGAAACTATTGTATTAGAAGTTAACAACACAATCTTTAATCTATCAGTTAGTAGTTCACATCTGACAGTTGAAAACAGAATAACAGCCATGCCATAGTTAAGAGAAAACACGTAAATATTACTAATCATGATACTCCACATTTCTTTCAGACTAGAAAGTAAGAAAAAAAAAAGCCACAGGCTTACTTATAGGTTTTGATGTTTTGATGCAGCCATTAAAACATCCAATAAACTCGGTGAGAGCCATCTGTGATTTCACCTTAGCTGGCTTAGCTGCTTTTCTCCTTTCAGAAGTGCATATCCCAAAGCTGTATCTCTTGGATTGTGTGTGTGTGTGTGTGTGTGTGTGTGTGTGTGTGTGTGTGTGTTCGCTTGCTCTTGTTCAGTGCTTAATAACAGACTTACAAAAGCTTTTAGTATACAACTAGATTTCCTTGATCACATTATGCTAGAATTTGGGTGACCTACTCCACACACAACACAGGAAATTGATGGTAACTTGTGAAGTGAGTAGAAGTGACTGAATTTAATTTGGAAGAGTCCCCAAAAAACAATTAGTTTAGCTTGAAATTCTTATAAGGAGAGTTTTGGGTACTGTTAGGTTTCATTTTATTTGCCTATACTCCAGAAAAAAAAAGAAAACTACATCAAAACTGTTGTGATGAAAGCTAGTGATCTTCAGCACATCAAAACTTGTTCAAAATGCTTGCATCTGATCTCACACAATAGGGATATTCACACAAAATATCTGTATAGAAATCATGTTTTAAAAATTAAGAAACAAAATACATGAAGAAAGTAACTTTCGGGTGAATCATATAGTGCATCATTATGTAACATCAAATAAGCCTTTGATATTTCCTCATTTTTCTTAGATTTTTATACACTGGCTCTATCTGTAGAAAGTAGGCTGGAAGGGAAATATTCTTATAGGACACAAATTGAAATAGTTTATTTTAGTTGATCCCTTAAAATCTCTTAGTAATAGTCAAAGAATTATGTATGGGTTTACTTTTTAAATGGATTTACACATTTAATGAAACCATGTAAGATGAAACTAGGATATTTATCATTTAGCATCTTATTTTCATTAGTTGACAGAAAAAAATCCTTTTGTAGAACTTATTTTAAAGGCATTTCATACTGTTAAAAAGGAACAGCTTTCAAAATACAAATCAAGTATATAAATCCATTAAGTGCAGTCACATCAATACTTAGGTCAAAACCATCACATGACACATAGTACTATAAGATCATACTTAAAATCCCTCTTATCTGTAAGTCTTTATATTAACTGCTTAGAATTGCAGCTGTCTCCCTTATTTTTCTCTAAGTCTTCGTAGACATCATATATATATATATATATATATATATATATATATATATATATATATATATATATTCTTAAATGTCAGAAGGATAGTGTTGTTTTCATATAGAGTGGAAATGACTAGATACTTAAAAATACATTGTTCCTATGGAAAGTAATCTCTGGAGGTTTAGATTAAAGAAAAATACTATTCGGGTATGAGATGAAAGCTATATAAAATGACTAATTTTATTTCAATTTTATAATCATTCAGGGCTACATCTTTCAACCTTATCTCTAAAATATGCAAGTAGATAGCAGGACAATACTAGAGTGCCGTGTTAATTCCCTTTGCTAATGTACTGGCAGTCAAAACTGAAAGACTACAATTTTATGAAAGCAAGAATAAATTGCATGTAATCCTGGCCTTTACAATGAAAGTCAAACTTAACCCTAAATGAAATTCCTAAATTTTTAGGGCCTCTTTTATCCCAAAATGCAAAGGCCAGTTTTGTCATACATGATGAATTAGATGCGCCACGTTCTTGTATTAACCTCCAAAGAAGGCAACTCTTGGTATTCTAAACATCTTTTTAAGTCAGAAGACAAGTATATGATAATAAATCTCTGAAATTGTTATGGGCAAAATTTTCTGGTGTTCTAAAAATGCAGCCTATTTGCCAGCATCTTATAATAAATATTATAAGTAAAAAATAATGGTAAATTTATAGTTTTGTTGCAAAGAAAGAATTATAGTAGGCTCTTACAAAAACTAAAATTTGTCTTCTAAGTTCAGATAATCGTAGGATGAAACCGAACCTTTACCCATTTTGAAATTGCTGCATGTTTCCAAACCCATCTTGGACTTTCTATACCCTACTTCTCAGCTCTGTTTCTAGTTGCATTGCCAGATTTCAGTTTAGCCATTTAGTACCAACTACTTTTGGCATGAAACAATGATTCAGGAATTAGCTAGACAATTGTTAGTGTTTAGGTGCTATAACTACATTATACTTTTAATTGGGACACACAACACAAAGAATGGATAAGGAAGATTTTATACATACACATGCTGAATCCTCTCCGTGGTGAAACGGAATACTCAGAGCCATTTTATTTAGTACACTAGGATGTGTTTGGGGTATTTTTTTGTTAGTTGTACTCCTCACAGTACCCCTTTAGATATAGACATTATTGTGATTCCCATTTTACAGATAAGGAAGAACAAGTGATTTAAATTATTGACCCAGAATCACATATCTTGGAAGTGCACATTTATTTTGCCTTAACTAAATATTAAATTTTGCCTTTTCACACTCCTATTATCAGGGATATTATAATTTATATTTTAAACATTATACTATTAAAGTTGATGCTGAAAAAGCTTTCTCAGTACCATGATCTTATTCATAACACAGTTATTGAACTGCAAAATGTTGGAATCCCATGCAAAGTTAATTAAAATATATATCATACTTGACTGCAAGTATTGTAAATGACCATAAAAAATATAAGAAAGCTGTGCTTCTGTCATATGTTCTTGATGCCTGGAGTTTGAATTTGGATTCAAACCTGTTTCCCATATATATATAGCTATTTAAAATAATGTACTAGGAAGGATTTGTGATATATTTATCTTTACGTGAAGGACAGGCTGAGGCAATATATATTTTTAAAATTTAGCAGTAATTTGCATCTCATTAATTCTGATTTTCCTTCTCTTACCTTTCTCTCTGACTGATTCTCACTGTTTTCTTCTTTTGTTTATAATCACTGTGACTATTCAAAATTCGTCCATACTTATAGAGATAGTTTAGTAACGCATGCTTGCAGGTGTTCAAATGAAAGCAGGTCAAGTTTAAAAATCCTGAAGATACAATTTTTATTTTTGTATTATGAGCATGTATTTTCTTGCCTGGTTACATGCTTCAATTCTTGGGGTTGAGAGCATGAAATTTAACTCCAGAACACCTAATGCACAGGAATCCCTAGAAAATGATAAACCCCAGGTATATGTAGTACAAAGCTGATCCTGGGTAATTAATGGTCAGTCAGGAAGTGCAGTTACTGCAAAGAGCATGCTACCTAAGAATTCCTCTATATTCATATTCATGCTGAGACTAGATACAAAATTTTTATAAAAATTTTGATGTGTGCATTTGAGTGTGCAAGCTAGGGGAAAGTTTGTGTTGGGGGGGTGCAGCAGTCTAAAAAATCTTGATATTAGACTCCAAGAAATGATTGTTATCAACATCATTCAAGTGCAAATCTTGATGCGAAGGGCATACAAAAAGCTATAGGTAAGAAGCAATTCAAGAATATAGAGTGCAGAAGTCATCTATTTCTCTATAGTCACATTCAGGGAACATTTATACACTTCCAAGATGTGTTTTGCATACATACACTGTACAAAATTTTTGTCATTTTTAAGATGCACCTAGTAATTGGAGGGAGTTTTATATTTAAAACTCATATTCTATATGGTTATTTTAGCCACGACTGATAAAATTTTGTAGCTAAAAGTTGATATTATTTTGCAGTTTGAGATTTAGAAGAAAAGAAATCATAGAGAGGAGAAAATGCCCATACAGATTTTTCTCAAGAAGACTACAGGATGAGGCTCTCAGTTAGGAATTCTTTTCTCTACCAGTCTCCTGGGGACATAAAGAGTAATTTTCCTCCAGGCCTTGGCATGGCAAATGCACAAAAATTAGTGAATATAGTCATTTCCAATTCACTCACTGGTGTGTGGGATATGGTTGCCTTAAACCATATTCTCTTTAAGTACGTACACACTTCCAGTAACTTGGGCAACATACTGGTATCCTCCCAATTACCCAAATTTCTGGAAATCAGAAGCCAATCCTGTTTTTATTTCAAAAATCAGATCTAATTCCTTAGATGGAAATGCCTTCTAGGCATTCGGTTATGAGGCATTCCATGCTACCAATGTCTCCTTCCTAATCTAGGCTCCTGAGACCTCTGAAATGTTTTACATTTTGTTATATGCTATATGGTATCCTATGTTTTAGGATTTCCTAGAAGCAAATTTAAGGTACTTGCTTTGTTTTTACTTCATTCTCATGCAAGCAGTCTTACTATTCTTGGATCCTTAACTTCCAATACTATGCTTTAATTAAGAGTTTTTAGTTATTATGATACAATTATTTTTAAATGAAATCATTAATTTTTACCAAGGAAACCTTAAGTCAACATTTTCCCTTTAAAAAAAGAAATGCTATTTAAAATTGGCACAATAAAGTCAGCAATCAAAGCAAAAGAAGAATTTGTGTTTAAATAATAGTTGACAATTCTGCCCACCACATTATTTCCAATTCCATGTTCTGTTACAGCCAGAAAGGAAGCAACTAAACTCATGCAGCTTATCTCGGCGTGCTAGGGGTAATGGACTGTGGGATAAGTGATGGCATGTACAGAAGAAACGTAAAATTCCACAGTTGCTCTGATAATGTACCTTGGGTTTGGAATTCAATACAGTAGTTGTTATGGTTATACAGGCTGTGCTCTGTCCTACACTAAGATGTTGCAATCAGATGATACATTGATATTAGTTGAATATGTTATAACTGTTAAAGAAAAGCATTATTTATAACACTTGTTAAATAAGGTGAGGAAGGTCCTAAGGAGGGACCATTGCAATAGGTGTAGGGACCACTGCAATGGGAACTTGCGGTGCAGTGGGGAAGAAAGATTGGGCTTGACTCTGATTCCAACAAGGACAAGAGGACATTGATATCCAAGGAGCAGTATGGGGTCAGTGGATAGAATATTACTAAGAGGAAACATCAGGCATAAGGAGGATTCCTGCTATGCCAACTCAACAGACTTCTTGCTGAAGACAGGCCAGGATGATAAGATATAGAAGGTGAGGATAAGGACAGACATCAAGGATGGGGGACTTTCTTTAAACTAATTTAGCAGGATTCTTACTTAAACTGGATTCTACAAGGATAGAGGGAAACCCAAGATCAGGTCTCGTCGAGCAGAGGCCTCAGAGGAGCCTGAATAAGAGAGAGTATTTGTTACAATATACAAATACATACACAAAGCCAGTACTTTGCAGTTCAGCACTTCCCATGTTATTGGGTCCACAGAAACAAGAGACTGTTATGGAATGGGTCTGTCATATTGAAGACTAAAGTGCATGGAGGGAGCAGTAAGAAGCTATTATGATCTTTGGGGGTTGCTTATCTCAAGGAAGATTCTGACAAAGATGAATTGAAACAATAACAGCTTAACAAGTACAGGACAAGACAAAAACAGCCAAATTATAGTTAAACAGACAAAAAATTACCAAACATTTTTTGAGGAGGCAGATATAGAGGGAAAAAAAAAACTTACAAAAGAAAATACTGTCGCTTCTGAATAGATGAGATAACCCTGAGAGATAATATTAATAACATAGGCTAAAGCATTTGGAATTTGATTGCATCTTATCATTGTAAAATAAAGACTAGTGACTAGGAAAAAACATTAAAACAAATTGGTACAAGTAGTTTGATGGAGTGGAAAAATACTTTATTAGAAGTCAAGTGTTGAGGATTCAGACTCAATGCTACTTTTGTCACCTGGGTAACTGTGATAAATCACTCGGCTTCTAGCGCTGTTTTCTCTGCTGTAAAATTAAGTTAGATTAAATGATCTTTAAAATTCATTCCAGACATATTTAATGGTTTTGTATGTGATAATTTTAACGATTTTATATTTATATTTGAGAATTTATATTTGAGAATAGCTTTATATTTTTAATCAGATACAAACTATAATTATTTAATTAATTGGTACTATAAAATTTCAGTAAAAAAGAAATAAGCAAAGGCTGGGGTAATGGGGGAGGTTTAGGAAAGATGTAGCATTTAAACTATATAGATCACAGTTGCTTAAAAAGCTGGCTGGGATTTTCATAAGCAGACAGAAAAAGGGTGACAAAAAGAATTCTAATAGGAGGAATAACTGGAGTGATCAGGAGAAGTGGGATGGCTAGTAGATGGGCCAATAATAAGAGCAGCCTGACAGAAATACAGTAGACAATGACACATCATATGGGGATTGTGTGATTTAATAATTTATACTAGCATGTTAAATTCTTGTAGAATGTATTTCAAGACAAAATTATATTTCAGCATTTCAAAATGTATTTCAAATCATGCAATATTTGTATTTATTGTCATTCTTTAATTTAATTTTATTTATTTCAATAGCTTTCAGGGTACAAGTATTTTTTGGTTACATGGATGAATTGTCTAATGGTGAAGTCTGGGATTTTAGTGCACCCATCACCTGAGTAGCGTACACTCTACTCAATAGGTAGTTTTTAATCCCTCATCTCCCTCTCACCCTCTCTTCTTCTGAGTCTCCTATGTCTTTCCATTATACCAGTCTATATACTTTTGCATATCCATAGCTTACCACCCACTTATAAGTGAGAACATGCAGTATTTGGTTTTTCATTCCTGAGTTACTTCACCTAGAATAACAGCCACTAGTTCTACCCAAGTTGCTGCAAAACACATTATTTTATTATTTTTATGGCTGATTAGTATGCTATGGTGTATACCACATATATATCAATGTGGTATATATATATATAAATGTGATATATATATACAAATGTGATATATATATATATATATATATATATATATATATACAAACACATATATATCACATTTTCCTTATCCACTCATTGATTGATGGGCACTTAGGTTGATTCCTTATCTTTGCAACTGTGAATTGCAAAAGCACAAAATATTTTTAAGTAAACAGCTATAAATTAGAATATTTTGTTCTTTCCATTAGAGTGTAAGCTCCATGTGATCATTGTCTGCTTTGTTCCTTCTGTATTCCTAACATGTAGAAAAGTGGCTGAAATATAAGCACATTTTGCCTATGTTAGAGTGTGCTTTAAATAAGTCAGAATTGGTTTTTACATCTTGAAAAATGGGATATTTTATGTTAAAACAACCTCGCAAAATCACTCCCATGTATAGAGAGACATAAGGAAGATACAATTGCTATGAGCAACCTTATTTTTTCAAAATGAGAACTAGACATTTTTGTAGCTTTTCAACTACGGGCATTTATGACTGTATCCTATGTATTAGCAAAAAACAGATCTTTGTTTTTCAGGTAGAAATAGTAACTAGCCATCCATAACATATTATTTTTCTCTCAGGAGACTGTGTTAAATATGAGTGTACTTATATTGTAAAACAACATCTACCACTAGAGTAAAAGCCATTTGAAAGTCAATGCACTACAACTGCTGTTTGCTATGGAACACTGTGCAAGAGAGTACTATTTGAAATATTTGAAACACTTTATTACAGCAGGACAGGAGGTCAACTGATAGTAACAGAATTTATGTGGACTTCATTTTCTGCAAACTTGGAGAGTAGCCTTTCTATTTTTCCATGTGATTTTTAAAGTCATAATTCTAAATATGTCAACATTCATAATAGATCTAGAAATTATTTACATAATCATCAATACTGAAAAGGAAGGGGCAGGCATTCTTTGGACACAAATTAGCATCATAGAGGATTATGAAATTTGGCCATTCTGTGTATTAAATTTCCATTTTAAAGTAATGTTACTAGTGTTGAATCTTTTCTTCTCTGATGCATCAACTATTCCAGTCATCTAAAATTCATTTTTAGCTGAACAAATTTCCATGAAATTATTGTGACTTCTGACAACTTTATTTTTTCTAGTTATTGCAGTCCAACAATCACATAATAAACATCACATAAATTGCATGAATTTTTCTCCTATTGAATTAATAAAGCCATGGAGCAAATTATATTTTCTGATGATTCTTAGGTAAGGATTTGGAAATTTCTTTTTTTTTTTTTCTTTTTTAATTATACTCTAAGTTTTAGGGTACATGTGCACATTGTGCAGGTTAGTTACATATGTATACATGTGCCATGCTGGTGCGCTGCACCTACTAACGTGTCATCTAGCATTAGGTATATCTCCCGATGCTATCCCTCCCCCCTCCCCCGACCCCACCACAGTCCCCAGAGTGTGATATTCCCCTTCCTGTGTCCATGTGATCTCATTGTTCAATTCCCACCTATGAGTGAGAATATGCGGTGTTTGGTTTTTTGTTCTTGCGATAGTTTACTGAGAATGATGGTTTCCAATTTCATCCATGTCCCTACAAAGGACATGAACTCATCATTTTTTATGGCTGCATAGTATTCCATGGTGTATATGTGCCACATTTTCTTAATCCAGTCTATCATTGTTGGACATTTGGGTTGGTTCCAAGTCTTTGCTATTGTGAATAGTGCCGCAATAAACATACGTGTGCATGTGTCTTTATAGCAGCATGATTTATAGTCCTTTGGGTATATACCCAGTAATGGGATGGCTGGGTCAAATGGTATTTCTAGTTCTAGATCCCTGAGGAATCGCCACACTGACTTCCACAATGGTTGAACTAGTTTACAGTCCCACCAACAGTGTAAAAGTGTTCCTATTTCTCCACATCCTCTCTAGCACCTGTTATTTCCTGACTTTTTAATGATTGCCATTCTAACTGGTGTGAGATGATATCTCATAGTGGTTTTGATTTGCATTTCTCTGATGGCCAGTGATGATGAGCATTTCTTCATGTGTTTTTTGGCTGCATAAATGTCTTCTTTTGAGAAGTGTCTGTTCATGTCCTTCACCCACTTTTTGATGGGGTTGTTTGTTTTTTTCTTGTAAATTTGTTTGAGTTCATTGTAGATTCTGGATATTAGCCCTTTGTCAGATGAGTAGGTTGCGAAAATTTTCTCCCATGTTGTAGGTTGCCTGTTCACTCTGATGGTAGTTTCTTTTGCTGTGCAGAAGCTCTTTAGTTTAATTAGATCCCATTTGTCAATTTTGGCTTTTGTTGCCATTGCTTTTGGTGTTTTGGACATGAAGTCCTTGCCCACGCCTAAGTCTTACATTTTCATTATTAAGGATAAAGAATCACCCGTTAGCACTGGTGGGTAGGAAAGCTTCCAGTTGCTCTGTCCGGAGCCCTGGCCTGCTGAAGTTGTAGAGTATTCTAGCTGCAGTAGCAAAGCCTACACCTGCTCATTGGTATGGCTGCTGCTATGGCAGTATTATGGGTGTGGTAATTGGTTCTTCCCTACTTTTCACAAGTGCTAATGGTCACCAGAGCTGGATGCCAGAAAGAAAACTCCCCTAAGTATCCCGAAAACATCCTCTACCTCTCTGCCATTTCTGTCTATAGGAAATTGGGCTTCATGGTAATTCACATTGTAGCAAACTTTCGTGAATATCTGTTCCATATCAAAAAATATATGCACTAAAAATACACTTTAAAAGATCTATTGCTTTTTATTTTAATTGGATATTTATTGCAGTTTAAAGTTGATTTGGCAGTTGATTTTATTAATGAGTAGTCCCTTCAATGTAAAAGTAATAACACTTGACTTCTACTTTGGGATGTAATGTTTGAGGTAAGTTGAACAAAAGAAATTTTATGATTTTTCTTAACTATTTAAATTAGACAACAAGCAGTGTTTTTCTGTTTGTCCCTTGAGTCAGTTGTAAAACTTTCCATTCTAGCTGAAAAGAGGTTACCATTTGTGAACTTTGAAAAATATAAAACTGCCAAAGAATGAATAACTCTAGAATATAATAGCTGTTTTAATGCATTGTTCCTATAACTATATTGGAAGGGGAAAAATCATATTTACTTTGGGACATATTAATCAGCTAGGAATAACAGTTAGTACAACGCACTACAGAGAACAGTTTGGAGGTTTCTCAAAACACTAAAAATTGAGCTACCATATGATCCAGCAATCCCACTCCTGGGCATATACTGAAAAGAAAAGGAATCAGTACATCGAAGAGATATCTGTACTCCTATGTTTGTTGCAGCATTGTTCATAATAGCTAAAATTCAGTAGAAACCTAAGTGTCCATAACAGATGAATGGCTAAAGAAAATGTGGTACATATAAACAACGGAGTACTATTCAGCCATCAAAAAGAATGAGATCCAGACATTTGCAACAGCATGGATGGAACTGTGGAACTGGAGATCCTTATGTTAAGTGAAATAGCCCAGGCACAGAAAGACAAACATGACATGTTCTCATTTATTTGTGGGATCTAAAAGTCAAATCAATTGAACTCATGGACTTGGAGAGTAGAAAGATGGTTACCAGAGACTGGGAAGGTAGTAGGGAGTATGAGGGAGGTGGGGGTGGTTAATGGGTATGAAAAAATGGAAAGAATGAATAAAACCTGATATCTGATAACACAATAGGGTGACTATAGTCAATAATAATTATATATTTTAAAGTAAAGAGTGTAATTGAATTGTTTGTATCTCAAAGGATAAATGCTTGGAAGGATGTATACCCCATTCACCATGATGTCATCATTTTACATTGCATGCCTGTATCGAAACATCTTATATACACCATAAATATATACACCTACTATGTACCCACAAACATTTTTTTAAATGTAAAAATTAAAAAGAGAAACTAATCAAAATCTAAGCAGAGGGACCTTGAAGAGGTATCAGAGTGATAATTTTACAAAGGAAAAATGAACAGGCAGATTTTGTCACTAAATAATCACCAGGGTACCCAAGTTAAAATTCTGCATTTTATATTTAGAAGCAAGTTGGCACAGGGCTGAAACATCAGAAATTCAGTATCCACCAGTAATTTCTTGTTATTGCTAATTCTCATTAGAGGTCTAACCACAAATTGCTATCTACCTTTGATATTTAGATCTTGTTCCTCCATGCATCTTAGTATCTTACATATGAGTTTTATTTTTCTGTAAGTACTATATCCATGTATGCAGATCTTTATTATACATTGTTTTAATATTCTCTATTTACACTGGGAATCAGGTAAAATCAGTTTGTTACTTTGCTGTTATTTAGAAGTGAGGTCTAGAAGTCAGAGAGTTTCTTAAAAAGTTTTAGTATGTAGCTTTGGTAATATGAGCCAAGCTGACATCTACAAGAGCATAAAATAAATATCTATTATATGCACAAATGACAGCATAATAGTAAAGTTGACCGTATTACGAACATTAGTTCACAATCTTAGCATGTATTTTTTTTTTCTTCAACTTTATTTTAAGTTCAGGTGTATATTGCAGGATGTGCAGGTTTGTTACATAGGAAAACGTGTCCCATGGTGGTTTGCTGCACAGATCATCAGATCACCTAGGTATTAATCCCAGCATTGATTAGGTATTTTTCTGGTGCCCTCCTTCCCCTTCCCCCTACCACGACAGGCCCCAGTATGTTGTTTTCCCCCACGTGTCCATAATTGTGGTCCCATAATTCAGCTCCCACTTATACATGAGAACGTGTGGTGTTTGATTTTCTGTTCCTGGTTAATTTGCTGGGAATGATGGCTTCTAGCTTCATCCATATCCCTACAAAAGACAAGATCTCATTCCTTTTTATGGCTGCATAGTATTCCATGGTGTATATGTACCACATTTCCTTTATCCAGTCTATCATTGATGGGCATTTGGGTTGATTCCATGTCCTTGGTATTGTGAATAGTGCTGCAATGAACAGAGGCATGCATGTATCTTTACAAGAGAATAATTTATATCCCTTTGGGTATATATCCAGTAATGGGATTGTTGGGTTAAATGGTATTTCCGCCTCTAGGTCTTTGAGGAATCACCACACTGTCTTCCACAATAGTTGAACTAATTTACACTCACACCAACAGTGTAAAAGCATTCCTTTTTCTCCACAATTTTACCAGCATCTGTTGTTTTTTGAATTTTTAATAATAGCCATTCTGGATGACATGAGATGGTATCTCACTGTGGCTTTGACTTGCCTTTCTCTAATGATCAGTGATGTTGAGCTTCGTTTCATATGTTTTTTACCTACATGTATGTCTTCTTTGGAGGAGTGTCTGTTAATGTCCTTTGCTTACTTTTTGATGGAGTTGTTTGTTTCTTTCTTGTAAATTTGTTTAAGTTCCTTGTAGACTCTGGAATTTAAGCCTTTGTCAGATGGATAGATTGCAAAAATTTTCTCCCATTCTGTAGGCTGTCTCTGTTGATAGTTTCTTTTGCTGTGCAGAAGCTCTTTCGTTTAATTAGATCCCATTTGTCAATTTTTGCTATTGTAGCCATTGCTTTTGGCATTTTCATCATGAAATCTTTGCTTGCACCTATGTCCTAAATCATACTGCCTAGATTTTCTTGTAGGGCTTATATAGTTTTGGGTTTTATATTTAAGTCTTTAATCCACACTGAGTTAACTTTTGTGTAAGGTGTAAGGAAAAAGTTCTAGTTTCAATTTTCTGTGTATGGCTAGCCAGCACTCCCAGCACCAGTTATTAAATAGGGAGTCTTTCACCATTGCTGGCTTTTGTCGATTTTGTCAAAGATCAGACAGGTGTAGTTGTGCAATCTTATTTCTGAGTTCTCTATTCTGTTCCATTAGTCTATGTGTCTGGTCTTGTACCAGCACCATGCTTTTTTGGTTACTGTAGCCTTGTAGTATAGTTTGAAGTTGGGTAGCATGATGCCTCCAGCTTTTTGATGTGAGCATTTAATGCTATAAATTTCCCTTTGGCAGTGTCCCAGAGATTCTGGTACACTGTCTCTTCATTCTCAGTAGTTTCAAAGAACTTCTTGATTTCTACCTTAATTTCATTATTTACCCACAAGACATTCAGGAGCAGGCTGTTCAATTTCCATGTAGTTGTGTGGTTTTGAGTGAATTTCATAATCTTGAGTTCTAATTTGATTGTGCTGAGACTGTTTATTATTATTTCAGTTCTTTTCATTTGCTGAGGAGTGTATTACTTCCTATTATGTGATCAATTTTAGAGTAACTGCCATGTGGCAATGAAAAGAATGTATATTCTGTTGAATTTGGGTGGAGATTTCTGTAGATTTCTATTAGGTCCACTTGATCCAGAGCTGAGCTCAGGTCCTGAATATCTTTGTTAATTTTCTGTCTTGACCTGTCTAATATTGTCAGTACATGTTAATGTCCCTCACTATTATTGTGTGGGAGGCTAAGTCTCTTTTTACATCTCTAAGCACTTGCTTTATGAATCTGGATGTTCCTATATTGGGTTCATATATATTTAGGATAGTTAGCTTTTGAATTGAAACTTTTACCATTATGTAATGCCCTTCTTTGTCTTTTTTAAATCCATATTGGTTTAAAGTCTATTTTATTAGAGACTAGGATTGCAACCCCTGCTTTTTTCTATTTTCCATTTGCTTGGTAAATTTTCCTCCATACCTTTATTTGAGCCTATGTGTGTCTTTGCCCATGAGCTGGGCCTCTTGAAGGCAGCATACCAATGGGTTTGGCTCTTTATCCATCTTGCCATTCTGTGTCTTTTAATTGGGGCATTTAGCCCATTTACATTTAAGGTTAATATTGTTATGTGTGAATTTGATCCTGCCATCATGATGCTAGCTGGTTACTTTGTAGTCTTGTTTATGTAGTTGCTTCATAGTGTCACTAGTCTGTGTACTTTAGTGTGTTTTTGTAGTGGCTGGCAATAGTTTTTCCTTTCCATATTTAGTGCTTCCTTCAGGACCTCTTGCAAGGTAGGCCTGGTGGTGATGAATTCCCTTAGCCTTCGCTTGTCTGAAAAGGATCTTATTTCTCCTTCACTTACGAAATGTAGTTTGGTCAGATACAAAATTCTGGGTTGGAAATCCTTTTCTTCAAGAATGTTGAATATTAGCCCCCAATCTCTTCTGGCTTGTAGGATTTCCACTGAGAAGTCTGCTGTTAGTCTGATGGGTTTCCCTTTGTCAGTAACCTGGCCTTTCTCTCTAGCTGCCCTTTTAACATTTTTTCTTCAATTTTGATCTTGGAGAATCTGATCATTATGTATCTTGGGGTTGATCTTCTCATGGAGTATCTTACTGGGGTTCTCTGGATTTCCTGAATTTAAATGTTGGCCTGTCTTGCTAGGTTGGAGAAGTTCTCCTGCATGATATCCTGAAATATGTTTTCCAAGTTGGTTCCATTCTCCCCATCTCTTTCCAGTACCCCAGTCAGTCATAGATTTGCTCTCTTTACATAATCCATATTTCTCAGAGGTTTTGTTTGTTCCTTTTCATTCTTTTTTCTCTATTTTTGTCTGCCTGTCTTATTTCAGAAAGACAGCCTTCAAGCTCTGAGATTCTATGCTCTGCTTAGTCTATTCTGCTGTCAATACTTGTGTTTGCATTGCGAAGTTCTTGTGTTGTGTTTTTCAGCTCCCTCAGGTCAGTTATGTTTCTCTCTAAACTAGCTATTCTGGCTACCAATTCCTGTATTGTTTTATCATGATTCTTAGCTTCTTTGCATTGGGTTACAACATGCTCCTTTAGCTCAATGTAGTTTGTTATTACCCACTTCTTAAGCCTAATCCTATCAATTCAGCCGTCTCAGCTTCAGCCCAGTTCTGTGCCCTTGCTGGAGAGGTGTTGTGGTCTTTTGGAGGAGAAGAAGCACTCTGGCTTTTTGAGTTTTCAGTGTTTTTGCATTGATTCTTCCTCATATCTGTGGGCTTACCTACCTTCAATCTTTTAGGTTGCTGACCTGTGAATAAGGGTTTTGTGGGGTCTTTTTTGTTGATGTTGTTGTTTTCTGTTTGTTTTCCTTTTGACAGTCAGGCTACTTTACTGTATGGCTGCTGCAGTTTGCTGGGGGTCTGCTTTAGACCCTAGTTGCCTCAGTTTCTCCCATACCTGAAAGTATCACCAGTGAAGGCCATGAAACAGCAAAGATAACAGCCAGATCCTTCCTCTGGAAGCTCCATCCCAGGGAGATACTGATCTGTTGCCAGCCTACATGCACCTGTAGGAGGAGACGGGATACCCATGTTGGCAGGTCTTACCCAGTCAGGAGGAATGAGATAAGGGATCTGCCCCTAGAAGCTGTCTGGCTGCTTTTTGGTAGAGCAGGCATGCTGCATTGAGGGGCTCTCTTCCTCATCTGGACTACCTGAATTCTCCAAAGCTGGTAGGCTGAAGGAGCTGAGTTGGCCAAACCACAAAGATGGAGGCCACCCCTTCCACTGCAAGCTCCATCACAGGGAGGGATCAGAGCTCTATTCATAGTACCCTGGCTGGAGTGGCTGGAGCCCCCTCAGAGAGGTCCTGCCCAGTGAGAAACAATGGATCAGCATCCCACTTAAAGAAGCAGTCTGGCCACCAACTGGCAAGGCAGCTGTGCTGCATTGTTGGGGGGCCCTTCCTTATCTGGACCATCTGTATTCTCCACAGGGGGCAGGCTGGAATAGCTGAGTCTACCAAACCACAGAGATGGTGGCCACCCCTCCCCCCAGGAATTCAGACTCATCTCAGGCAGACTGCAATCTGCTGCCATTGGCTAGCTGGGATTCCAAGCCAGTGGGTCTTAACTTGTGAGGCAACAGGAAGTGGGGCACACAGAACAATGCTGCTTGGCTCACTGGATTCAGCACCCTTCCTAGGGATATGTGCGGATGGATTTCCCACCTTACTGGTGATCCCAAGGCCAGAGCATGTAAAGTTCCTGGGTGTCTGTGTGTGTCTGAGTGGCTGCTCTGCTGAGACTCCACACAGCTCTGTGTGTCAGACCCAAGGCCCTGGTGGTGTGGGCTCATGAAGTGATATCCAGATCCATGTGTTGCAAAGATCCATGGGAGAAGTGTGGTTTTTCAGGTGGGGTTGCGCAATCACTACCACTTCCCTTGGATGAGGGTGGGGCTTCCTTTGGCTCCATGCCACTCCCCCATGGGCCATCACCTTTCCCCACTTTTCTTCATTTTTTTGTGGGTCGAGTTGTTTTCCTAGTCAGTCTCAATGTGAGAACCTGGATATTTCAATTGAAGATGCTGAATTCCCTCACCCCTTCTTATTCCTCTCCGTGAATACTGTGGACCACAGCTGCTTCTAATTAGCCATCTTGGATCGTGTTTTTTGCGACATTTTTAAAATACACCTTTGTAAACTGTTACTTGTTCTTCTCTCACTGTTTAAATTTATGGAAACAACTAAAGCATGTTTCACGAGGAAAACTTCAACAAGTCTGACATATATTTTGATATTATTAATGAGGAATATTCAACAAGAAATGCTAATAAGACAGACCTCAGTATAAAGTGGCACTGTTCCCACTATACAGATAACACATTTTTCCTAGCTATCGGTAGTGTCAATGGCAGTAATAACAGATTCATACTGCCTGATTCCTTTCTCTCTGAAATAATTTAGAGAAGTTAAACTTAATTTTATGTAAAAATGTAAAATTTTCCAATATTTATTTTTGGGGTATTTTTTAAACTTTATTGAGCATAATTGACAAAATTGTTTATAATAAAGTGCACAGCCTGATGATTTGATATATGTGTACATTGTGTGACTGTTACGTCAAGTTAATTAACACATTCATCACTGAAAATAGTTATCCTTTTTTTTTCTTTTTAATGAGAACACTTGACATCAACTCTCTTAGTAAATGTCCAGTCTGCAAAACACTGTAGTCACTATGCGGTATTTTAGAGCTTCAGAACTTATTCATCTGAATATTCAACTGAACATTTATATCCTTTAACCAATGTCTCCCCATTTTCCACACTCTGGATCCTGGCATCCACCATCCTATTCTGTTTCTCTAAGTACAACATTATATTTTCTTTTTAGATTCCATACGTAAATGGAATCATGCAGTATTTTTCTTTCTTTGACTGACTTAAATAAGCCATGTCCTCCAAGTTCATTCAAGTTGCTGCAAATGGTAGGTTTTCCTTTTTTTAATTGCTGAATAATATTCCATTGCATACTACATTTTCTTTCTTTCTTCATTCATTCATTCATTCATTCATCAACTGACATGTTGTTTCCATATCTTGGCTATTGTGAATGCTGCAATAAACATAAGCATGCAGCTATCTCTCTGAGACACTGATTTCATTTCCTTTGGATATATACTCTGAAGAGGGGTTGTTGGATCATATAGTAGTTCTATTTTTTAATTTTTTTGAGGAAACTCCATATTGTTTTTTCATAACAGCTGTACCAATTTATATCCCCAACAGCAGTGTGCAAGTGTTCTCTTTCCTCTACATCCTCACCAATACTTGTTATCTTTTCAAATTTGATAATGACCATCTAAATAGGTGTGAAGTAATATCTGCTTGTGATTTTAATTTGCATTTCCCTGATGATTAGTGATGCTGAGCACCTTTCCTTGGCCATTTGTATATATTCTTTGGGAAAATGTCTATTCTTTTACCCATTTTTAAATTGTATTATTTGGTTTTTGTTTACTCTTGAGTTGTGTTTCTTATATATTTTAGATATTAACCCCCTACGAGATAAACATTTTCTTTCATTCTTTAGGTTGCCTCTTCATTTTATTGTTTGTTTCCTTTGCTGTGTATAAGTTTTTTAGTTTAATGCAATTCCACTTGTTTATTTTTGCTTTTGTTGCTGTAATTTTGGTGTCATAAAAAAAATCATTACCAAAACCAATGTCAAGGAACTTTTCCCCGATGTTTTCTTCTAGGAGTTTTTGGTGTCAGTTTGTGTTTTTTCACTTTGTTTGTTTGTTGTTGTTGTTGTTTGAGATGGAGTCTTGATCTGTCTCCTACGCTGGAGTGCAGTGGCGCAATCTCAGCTCACTACAAACTCCACCTCCCAGGTTCAAGTGATTCTCCCACCTCAGCCTCCCAAATAGCTGGGATTACAGGCACCCCCCATCATGCCTGGCTAATTTTTGTATTTTTGTAGAGACAGGCTTTCACCATGTTGGCCAGGCTGGTCTTGAACTCCTGATCTCAGGTGATCCACCTGCCTCGGCCTCCCAAAGTTCTGAGATTACAGGCATGAGCCACCACACCTGGCCAGGTTTCAGGTCTTATATTGAAGTCTTTATTTCAAGTTAATTTTTGTAAGTGGTGTAGGGGTGCACTTTTATTTTGAGGGTCTTGCTATCCAGTTTCCCTGACACAGTTTGTTGAAGAGACAATCCTTTTGCCATTGTGTGTTCTTGGTGCTCTCATCTAAGATTAGTTGACTCTATACATGTGGATTTATTTCTGGGTTCTGTATTCTGTTCTATCAGTTTATATGTCTGTTTTTATACCAGCACCATATTGTTTTGTTTACTATAGTTTTGCAATATACTTTGAAATCATAAAATGTGATGCCCCAAGCTTTGTCATTACAGGCCAATATCCTTGATGAACACAAATGCAAAAATCTTCAACAAAATACTAACAACTCAAATTTAACAGCACATTATAATGATCATACACCATAATCAAATGGAAATTATCCCTGAGGTGCAAGAACAGTTCAACATACACAAATCAATAAATGAGATACACTATATTAACAGAATGAAGGATAAAAATTATAGAATCATCTCAACAGATGCAGAAAAACAATTTGACAAGCTTTACCAAATTAGGTAAAGAAAAAATATACCTCAACATAATGAATGTCAAATATGACAAGCTAACAGATAACATCATACTCCAGTGAAAAGCTGAAATCTTTTCTGTTAAGATCAGGAGCAAGGATGTCCACTCTTGCCACTGCTAGTCAACATAGTACTGGAAATCCTAGCCAGGGCAATGAGGCAAGAGAAAGAAATAAAAGGCATCCAAATTGAAAAGAAGAAGTAAAATTGTCTCTATTGGAAGATGACATAATCTTATATACACAACACTCTAAAAACTCTGCCAAAAAAATTACTAGAATGAATAAACGAATTCAGTAAAGTCACAGGGTACAAAATCAACAGGGAAAGATCAGATGCATTTCTATACACTAACAATGAACTCTCAAAAGGAGAAATTTTAAAAGCAATACCATTTACAGTTGGGTATTAGTCTCTTCTCATTCTGGTAATATAGACATACCTGAGATTAGGTAATTTATAAAGGAAAAGGTTTAATTGACTCACAGTTCAGCATGTCAAGGACTCAGGAAACTTACAATCATGGCAGAAGAGGAAGCAAACACATCCTTCTTCACATGGCAGCAGCAAGGAGAAGTGCCTGTGAAAAGGGGGAAAAGCCCTTATAAAACCATCAGATCTCGTGAGAATTCACTCACTGTCATGAGAACAGCAGGAAGGTAACCACCCCCATTATTAAATTACCTCCCACCAGGTCTCTCCCATGACACATGGGGATTATGGGAGCTACAGTTCAAGATGAGATTTAGGTGGGGACACAGCCAAACCATGTCATTCCACCCCGGCCCCTTCCAAATCTCATGTCCTTATGTTTCAAAACAAAATCACACCCTTCCAACAGTCCTCCAATGCCTTAACTTATTCCTGTATTAAACCAAAAGTCCATGTCCAAAAGTCTTGTCTGAGACAAGGCAAGCCCCTTCTGCCTATGAGCCTGTAAAATCAAAAGCAAGTTAGTTACTACCTACATACAATGGGTCAACAGGTGTTGGGTAAATACATCCATTCCAAATGGGAGAAGTTGGCTAAGAGAAAGGGGCTACAGGCCCCATGCAAGTCCAAAATCCAGTGGGGCAGTCAAATCTTAAAGTTCTAAAATGATCTCCTTTGAATCCAAGTCTCACATACAAGGTGCTGATGCAAGAGGTGAGCTCTCAATGCCTTGGGCAGCTCCATCCCTGTGGCTTTGCAGGGTACAGCCCACCATCCTGGCTGCAATAACAGGCTGGCAATGAGTGTCTGTGGGTTTTCCAGGTGCATGATGCAAGCTGTCAATGGATCTACTATTCTGGGATCTGGAAGACTGTGGCCCTGTTCTCACGGCTCCAGTAGGCAATACCCCAGTGGAGACTCTTTTTGGGGCCTCTTACCCCACATTTCACTTCTGCACTGCACTAGCAGAGGTTCTCCATGAGAACTCCATCCCTGCAACACACCTGTGCCTGGATATCCAGGCATTTACATATATCTTTTAAAATCTAGATAGAAGTTCCCAAACCTCAATTCTTGGCTTCTGTGCACCTGCAGGCCTAACATTATGTGTAAGCTGCCAACCCTTGGGGCTTGCACCCTCCAAAGTAACAGCCTGAGCTATATATTGGCCCCTTTTAATCATGGCTGGGACACAGGGCATCAAGTCCCAAGACTACAGAAAGCAGCAAGGCCTTGGGTCCAGCCAAAAAAAAAAAACATTTTTCCCCCTAAGCCTCTAGGCCTGTGATGGGAGGGGCTACTGTGAAGACCTCTGACATGTCCTGGAGACATTTTCTCCATTGTCATGGCAATTAACATTTGGCTCCCTTTTTACTTATGCGAATTCCTGCTGCCAGCTTGAATTTCTTATCAGAAAATGGGTTTTTCTTTTCTATAGCATCATCAGGCTGCAAATTTTCTGAACTTTTATGTTTTGCTTCCCTTTTCAACATAAGTTCCAATTCCAAACCATATCTTTGTGAATACATAAAACTTAATGCTTTTAACAGCACCCAAATCACCTCTTGAATGATTTACTACTTACAGATTTCTTTTCCTGGATACCCTAAATCATCTCTTTCAAGTTCAGAGTTTCACAGATCTCTAAGGTAGGGGCAAAATGCCACCAGTCTCTTTGCTAGAGCATAGCAAAAGTCACCTTTATTTTACTTCCCAACAAATTCCCCATTTCCATCTGAGATCACCTCAGCCTGGACTTCATTGTCCATACCACTATCAGCATTTTAGTCAAAGCCATTCACCAAGTCTCTAGGAAGTTTCAAACTTTCCCACCTCTTTCTGTCTTCTTCTGAGCCCTCCAAGCTTTTCCAGCCTCTCCCTGTTACCCATTTCCAAAATCGCTTCCACATTTTCAGTTATTTTTACAGTAGCACCCCACTCCTGGTACCAATTTACTGTATTAGTCTGTTCTCACACTGCAAATAAGGACATACCAGAGACTGGGTCATTTGTAAAGGAAAAATATTTAATCAACTCACAGTTCAGCATGGCTGGAGAAGCCTCAGGAAACTTACAATCATGGCAGAAGTAGAAGCGAACATGTCCTTCTTCACATGGTAACAGCAAGGTGAAGTGCCAAGCGAAACAAGGAAAAGCCCCTTATAAAACCATCAGATCTTGTGAGAACTCACTCACCATCACGAGAACAACATGAGGGTAACCAACCTCATGATTAAGTTACCTCCCACTGGGTCCCTCCCACATCATGTAGGGATTATGGGAACTACAATTCAAGATGAGTTTTGTCTGGGGACACAGCCAAACCATATCAAGCAACATCAAAATTAATAAATTTAGGGGCAAATTTAACCAAGGGAGATGAAAGATCTCTACACTGAAAACTATAATGCATCAGTGAAAGAAATTAAAGAAGACATTAATAAATAGATATCCTGTGTTCTTAAATTGAAAGAATTAATATTGTTAAAATGTCCATACCATCCAAAGCAATCTATGGATTCAGTGCAAGTCCTATCAAAATGCCAATGTTACTTTTCACAGAAATATAAAAAAGAATTCTAAAATTCATATGGAACCACCAAGGACCCAGACTAGCCAATGCAAACTTGAGAAACACTGTTTTGTTAGCAGGTCTATTATATAGTTATCAGAGTCTTGCCTAAGACTTGTTATTTATATTGCAAGGTTTTATCCAACTCTTCAGCTAGAAAGAATGCATGTCGTGTTAACCTGATGGTGCTATGTTATATTAATGAACAATATCATTTCTTATTTGAAACCTTAGTTATTATGGCTGCATGAAGATCAAGATCACTTAGGAAGAAAACCATGATGTAACGTTACACTATTGAGCATCACAGTCTTTGAATTAAAATAATACTTTTACATTATCTTTTCTAATTGAAAATGCTCCTGCTAAAGTGTGGGGTTTTCTTTCCAGATTTTCCTCCATCAGCAGGACTTACATGTGCTTTGTTTAGAGAGCTGACAGTTTGTACTAGAGCATACTACAGCTGTGCCTCTCTGGCCTAGCAACATGTGGTGTCAGATGATCTTTAATGACTAGGGTACGGGCTTCAACACTTAGAATCTTTAGGAACAGCAGACAGCTCTTGAAAACAGGAGACATACATAAGGGCAGAGCTGAAGGAAACTGCTAGCGTTTAGTTTAAATGGTGCCAAACCTTACAATCATTTGTGGGTCACTGAGTTTTTTATCTTTTTACAGCTGTTTTTGAGTATCAGTGACAGATAATTTGTAATAGCATTAACATTTTAACAATGCATGAAAAAAGGAAGTATTTTCTTTACTTTTGCATTCAGTAATTTAATGTACATTCAGCTCTTTAAAAGAACAGAGGATAAACTTAAAGTTATTGGAACTAGAGGAAAGTTACGACAATCCTTTATTTTAATGACTTATAATGGAAGTGGGAGATAATATAAAAGACAATGCATGAGAAAGCTGAATATGGAATAATAATAGAAATTACAGTGGTTAAGAAGATTGTTTTTAATTTATCCTGTTTGACAGAGTAAGTTACATTTGAGAGCACACAAGAGTAGAAAAGTTCATTCATACAAACACTGTGTATCACACAATGTATTATTTTTGTATGTCAAGCATGCAGGTGGGCCCTTGAAAATTCCATTTTTGACTTCTTTTTTTTTCCTTTTTATTCACAGCCAAAATAACAATTAGAGGCCATGTACATTAGATGTGCAATTCCCAGCTCTGGCTTTGTTGACAGCAGACATTAGGTAGAGTGGAGTGTCTTCTAGACACACTTGTGAGTTAAACTTAATTTATAGAGGAGGGAACAATTAAGGGACTTGACAATGAAGTCATTTTTACAATTTATGAAACCTGATTTCTTTGTCCCAGCTTAAGATGAATTGACTCTCCATTGATGTTTCTTTATATCTATCTCTTAATAAAAGATCTTGTTCAATTAATAAAATTCTTTAAACAACTATTAGCTATCACTTTAAGAAGTTAAACATTGGCTTACAAGAGAAAGGAAGTCTATTAAAACCATACATTTGATTTTCTCTAATTTTTAGAAGCCCACATTTTGTCAGTTGAAAGTGTCCGCAAAACAGCAGGGGTTTGGTCTAGGTTCTGCTACTCACTGCACAGAAAGCCAATGACTGAGATGACAAGTATTACCAAGGAGGAAGGAAGAAGGCTTTAATTGGGTGCTGCAGCCAAGGAGATGGGAGCTCAGTCTTAAATCCCTCTCCTTGACTGTCTAAAATTAGGTTTTTATATAGTGGGGAAGAAATGTAACAATATTAGAAGATAGGAACTAGAGAGGGGCAAGGAAACAATCATGATGAATGAGGGATCTGGCATCTCATTATCTGGATGCTCTGATCTGGTGAGTTTCAGTTCTTTGATTTTTTTTTTTTTCTGAGAGGCCTGAACATCATTTCCTGAGGAAGGAATGCAGATAAAACAAATATAAGTTTCAAGCTTTAAGACCAGAAGGATCAATATCTATGTTTACCCAAAAACAACTGTCTGTGGGACTATTGGGTCAGTTTCAAGAGAATGAATTTCAAGAGAAAGAATATTTGATGCTTTTGGAGGCAAAATTAACTTATTCAGAATACTATTTCCTAGAATATAAAGAGATGTGTTATTCAACTAAAGAATAGTTTGTGTTCTCACTCATAAGTGGGAGTTGAACAATGAGAACGCATGGACACAGGCAGGGGAACATCACACACCGGGGCCTGTCGGGGGTGGGGGCTGGGGGAGGGATAGCATTAGGAGAAATGCCTAATGTCAATGACGAGTTGATGGGTGCAGCAAACCAACACGGCACATGTATACCTGTGTAACATACCTGCACGTTGTGCACATGTACCCCAGAACTTAAAGTAAAATTTAAAAAATAAATAAAATAATAAAATTGCCTTTCAAAAAACAAAAAAAGAAATATTGAAAAGCTACCCAGTATTTTAACAGGCACGTATTTTTAAAATAAATTTTATTGCATAAAAAAAAAGAATAGTTTGTTGGGTGAAAGGGAATTAATTTTATTTTATTATTTTTAAATTTTACTTTAAGTTCCAGGATACATGTGCAGACCGTGCAGGTTTGTCACATAGCTATACATGTGCCATGGTGGTTTGCTGCACCTATCAGCCTGTCATCTGGCTTTTAAGCCCCGCATACATTAAATATTTGTCCTAATGCTCTCCTTCTCCTCAACCCCCACCCCCCACCCCCCGACTGGCCCCAATGTGTGTTGTTCCCATTTCTGTGTCCATGTGTTCTGATTGTTCAACCCCCACTTATGAGTAAGAACATGCGGTGTTTGGTTTTCTGTTCCTGTGTTAGTTTGCTGAGGATGATGGCTTCCAGCTTCATCCAAGGAGAGATGTTGGAAGGGACCTATTTAGTGTCATTGTTTTCTCCCCTTTTTTTGTCTGTTACCAGTGTGTAGTTGTTAGGATGCTGTGAACAGGCTGTATGAGAATGCTCTAAGACAGGGGTCCCCAAACCGTGGGCCATGGACCGGTACCTATCCATGGCCTGTTAGGAACCAGGCTGCACAGCAGGAGGTGAGCAGTGGCAAGCGCGCATTACCGCCTGAACTTCACCTCCTGTCAGATCAGCAGCGTCATTAAATTCTCACAGGAGCTCAAACCCTATTGTGAACTGCTCAAAGGATCTAGATTGTGCACTTCTTATGAGAAATCTAGCTAATGCCTAATTATCTGAGGTGGAATAGTTTCATCCTGAAACCATTATCCACCCACCCACCCCCACTCTCCAACCATGGAAAATTGTCTTCTACGAAACCAGTCCCTGGTGCCAAAAAGGTTGGGGACCACTGTGGTAGGAGAAGGAGATAAGCAGAAATATTTCCTTGTTTCCAACTGAGCGTTCAACCTTCCCAGAGAGCTGACAAAGTAGAAAAAAGGAAGACCCCCCCTAGCAACATCATATGAGTACAAATTTTAAATTTAAGAGTACTTTATTCTGTTGTCTCTATTTATACAGATTAATATTTAACTTTTTAATAACTATATTAGCAGGAACAACTTAGTTGTACAACAAATCTCTCAAAATAATACTGCTTGTTATAATTTAAAGAGCATCTTTATATTCTCTTCTTTCATTAACAAGGCTGAAAGGAAATATTACTCTGATTTTAGTGATGAGAAATTTATACTCAGAGATTTAGCCTTTTCACCCAGCTAATAAAGGGTAATGCCAGAACTTGAACAATGTCTTCTGAATGCGAGCCATTTGCTTTTGTTTCACGTCTGGTTCTATAAAGTGAATTGCAGTTTTGAGTAGTGCAGTGAATTGAAAAGCAAGCCTTCAAATATGAGTTGATTTTTAAGAATCAACTCTTCACTGTAATAGAAAATCTTCACATTTATTTTTTAAAATTTGATTACACAACATAGTAGGGTTTTTTCCTGCAGAGTGGATTTAGGATGAAAGGTTAAGTTTTCTTTATATTTCCTTCTGTGCTGTTTTAATATTTTTTTCAATAGGTTCACACTGTTAAGTACTTATATTCAAACAATAAAATAACAATAGAAATATTTCAGATTTGTAAATAGTCTTTTTCTCTCCCAAAATACCACCACATTTGTAATTTTTTCTTTAGTTTGTTATCCTGTCTCACAGTTAAAGCGACTGAGTCACAAGCAAATAAAGAGTGTTGGCCAACGTCTCATGGCTAGTTTGTGTACAGCACAAATCTCAGGTTTCTGATTTTAGGCTAGAGCTCTTTGGACAGCAAAAGTGATTTATTTATTTTTCTTTCAAATATCCCCTCTTTTAGTCTTAGCTTAATTTTTCTGAGGCTAATAAGACTTTATAATAATGCATTTCAGGTATGCTTAACCATTTATCATTACATGTTACAGAATGACCTGATGACATGAAAAGTGTGCATGTATCTTTTAAGAAGTTTTTTCAACTCCAGAAGAACTTATCAATTTGCAAATGTCTAATTCACCATGCCACATTGAAATATTGCAATAAAACATTGTGATTTATAACACCATATTGTTATAAATCTAAAAATGGGTGACTTAGTTTAGTCATATTTTGTAGGTTCAAATGCAACATATATGTATAACATGGAATTATTGTTAATGTTGGTAGACATCAATGCAGCTTAGAACTAAAAAAAGGCACGTCTTAATTTCTCTTAGAAAGTCCGAAATCTTACTTTTAGCAATGAAGTTTCACATCCTAATTGAAATATAAACAGAAAAGATGTGTGTTTTCTTTCCCAGCTCTTTTCCATTTGCATGATTATAGATTCTGACAGACGCAAAATATTTATGTATTCAGTGACACCTCTTTTAATTAAAACACTATACAGTATGAGGGTATAATACCAGACCTCTCATTATTACCCAAAGGAATGTAGTTGGTATAAAAAATAGTTGGTTAAAAAGTGATTACCTCAGAAAGGGTGGCTTAATTATATGAGCATTTGCTTGACTCTGGAGAATACTTTGCAAGCCCAAGGACAACATTTACAAGTATAACCACAACTTTTCTTGTACCAATTTACACTATAAAATTAGTATCCAAACAAGTCTTTGCTCACTTTATGTGGATTACTTGGAAAATAGTGTCTTGTTAGATTAAAAAAAAAGTGATTGTTTAAAAAAGTAGCATCACATTAGTAAAATTCAAGATATTGTTTAGAATTTACTAAGCGTCAAGGTAGTGAAGATGATCAAAGAAGGATCACCATACGCTAGACATGGTGGCTCACACCAGTAATGCCAACACTTTGGGAGTCTGAAGGTGGGAGGGTCGCTTGAGCCCAGGAGTTTAGAACAGCCTGGGCAACATAGCGAGACTCTTTCTCTACAAAAAATAAAAAATTACCAGGGCGTGGTGGTATGCTCCTGTGTCCCAACTACTCGGGAGCCTGAAGTGGAAGGATCACTTGAGCTTAGGTGGTTGAGGCTGCAGTGAGCAGTGACTGTGCCACTGCACTGCAACCTGGGTGACTGAGTCACCCTTGTCTCAAAAAAAAAAAAAAAAAAAAAGGAAAAAAGCAAAAGCAAAAGGGATCATCGTGTTTGGCAGCATGGCTTGGTGGAGAGTGCGGCCTAGAATCCTGATTCCGCCAGTTCTTTTTATGTGACTTGGGTAATTTATTGAATCCCACTAAGGTTCAGCTTCCTCATTTGTAAAATAAGTAAAATAATGTGTCCGGAATTGGTTCTTTCCGGTGGGTTCTTGGTCTCGCTGAGTTCAAGAAGCTGCAGACCTTCACAGTGAGTGTTACAGCTCTTTAAGGCGGTGTGGACCCAAAAAGTGAGCAGCAGCAAGATTTACTGCGCACAGTGAAAGAACAAAGCTTCCACCACGTGGAAGGGGACCCCAGCGGGTTGCCACTGCTGGCGAGGGTGGCCTGCTTTTATTGCCTTATTTGGCCCCACCCACATCCTGCTGATTGGTCCATTTTACAGAGAGCTGATTGATCCATTTTACAGAATGCTGATTGGTCCATTTTGACAGCGTGCTGATTGGTGTATTTACAATCCTTTAGCTAGATAGAAAAGTTCTCCAAGTCCCCTACCCGATTAGTTAGACACAGAGCCCTGATTGGTGCGTTTACAAACCTTTAACTAGACACAGAATGCTGATTGGTGTGTTTACAATCTTTTAGCTAGACAGAAAAGTTCTCCAAGTCTCCACCCAACCCAGAAGCCCAGCCACTTCACCTCTCAATAATACCTCTCTTACTTGGCTTTAATGAAAATTAGCAATAAGATAAAAGTTCCTAGTGCAGCACCTCATAGTGCAGCCGCTCCTAGGCACTGAATAAAGTTAGTTCTGATGATTATTCTGCCTTTCGAAAACTTCAGGTGCAATAAAAAATGATGCAACAGGAAAATATTCAGGTTCTGCATCTAAAAATTAAGATATAGTGATACGTACCTTACTGAAATAGGGTGATATGGTGAAGCACCTAACACAATGTTGGACCTCATAAGCTTTCAATGATTGTTCATTACTTTCAGATTTTCAATGAGCTATAAAGACAAAATGCAAATGAAATTGAAAGGCATTGTCAACCATAGCGTCATGCAGATGCTACTTAATATAACTTTAAAATACATAGAAATTTTAATAAGTTTGTTCCCTTAGGAAAATAGCTAAGGAAAAATGCATAATTACCTGCTCTTTACTTATTTTCACTATTTAATAAAGCATTACAGGAAAGGTAAGAGTTGTATAGCTCAAGTAAGCAAAGAAAGCTTTCTTTTCTTTTTGATTTTGCACTTGGGGAATTTTTCTTGATCTTCTTCTTCAAAAGGAGCAGAGAATTCATTTATGTGTACCTGGGGTCTTGATTATTACAAAAAAAAAGAAGAAACTGAACAACTTTGCATACTTTAGTAAAACAAAATAATTCAATTAAGCTTATTCAGGGCATCTTGGTGTTTTAGCAAAGTTGAAAAGGACACTTGACTCTTGTTAAGGGGAGCTCTGTAGACATTTATGTCTGGGGGAATATGTTACTCAGTTTGCAGCATGATAATAAGCTCTAAACCAGGGAACTATATCAGTTGCATAGACAATGAATCCAGTCTGGAAGATAAATTGTTCACTGAGGGTAAGGTGGCTGAATTTCTGATATAAGTGGCCATATAATCATGAGAGCTTTACCTCTAATAAAAACATATATTTGGTTCTTAAAAAACAGTCACCTTATCTTTAATGAGCAATTTGACTTTTAGGCTTAATGCATTAGTCTCTTAAGTGACAAATTTTTGTCTGTGCTAACAACTAGTTGGCAGAATTTTGACAGTGAACAGAAGCTGTCAGACAAACCCATAATATTTCCTCCAGTAGCTGATCTGTTCAATTTCAAGCATTGAAAGCTTATGTAAAACATGGAGAGAACTTGTTTTATGGTTTCTGGGATAATTTTTTTATATTGCTTGATAAGCTCTAAATGAACAAGTATCTACATGTAAGACATACTTTAGAAATAAAACTACCTGAAATGGTGGTTGCCAGCATTTGAGAGTTGGGGTATTGGGGAGATGTTTGTCAAAGGACACAAACTTTTAATTAGATACAAAAAATAAGTTCAAGAAAACTATTGTGCATCATGGTGAGTATAGTTAATAACAATATACTTGAAAATTGCTGAACTAGTTTACAGTCCCACCAACAGTGTAAAAGTGTTCCTATTTCTCCACATCCTCTCCAGCACCTGTTGTTTCCTGACTTTTTAATGATTGCCATTCTAACTGGTGTGAGATGGTATCTCATTGTGGTTTTGATTTGCATTTCTCTGATGGCCAGTGATGATGAGCATTTTTTCATGTGTTTTTTGGCTGCATAAATGTCTTCTTTTGAGAAGTGTCTGTTCATGTCCTTCGCCCACTTTTTGATGGGGTTGTTTGTTTTTTTCTTGTAAATTTGTTTGAGTTCATTGTAGATTCTGGATATTAGCCCTTTGTCAGATGAGTAGGTTGCGAAAATTTTCTCCCATGTTGTAGGTTGCCTGTTCACTCTGATGGTAGTTTCTTTTGCTGTGCAGAAGGTCTTTAGTTTAATTAGATCCCATTTGTCAATTTTGGCTTTTGTTGCCATTGCTTTTGGTGTTTTGGACATGAAGTCCTTGCCCACGCCTATGTCCTGAATGGTAATGCCTAGGTTTTCTTCTAGGGTTTTTATGGTTTTAGGTCTAACGTTTAAATCTTTAATCCATCTTGAATTGATTTTTGTATAAGGTGTAAGGAAGGGATCCAGTTTCAGCTTTCTACATATGGCTAGCCAGTTTTCCCAGCACCATTTATTAAATAGGGAATCCTTTCCCCGTTGCTTGTTTTTCTCAGGTTTGTCAAAGATCAGATGGTTGTAGATATGCGGCGTTATTTCTGAGGGCTCTGTTCTGTTCCATTGATCTATATCTCTGTTTTGGTACCAGTATCATGCTGTTTTGGTTACTGTAGCCTTGTAGTATAGTTCAACCATTGTGGAAGTCAGTGTGGTGATTCCTCAGGGATCTAGAACTAGAAATACCATTTGACCCAGCCATCCCATTACTGGGTATATACCCAAAGGACTATAAATCATGCTGCTATAAAAACACATGCACACGTATGTTTATTGCGGCATTATTCACAATAGCAAAGACTTGGAACCAACCCAAATGTCCAACAATGATAGGCTGGATTAAGAAAATGTGGCACAAATACACCATGGAATACTATGCAGCCATAAAAAATGATGAGTTCATGTCCTTTGTAGGGACATGGATGAAATTGGAAACCATCATTCTCAGTAAACTATCGCAAGAACAAAAAACCAAACACCGCATATTCTCACTCATAGGTGGGAATTGAACAATGAGATCACATGGACACAGGAAGGGGAATATCACACTCTGGGGACTGTGGTGGGGTGGGGGGAGGGGGGAGGGATAGCATTGGGAGATATAACTAATGCTAGATGACGAGTTAGTGGGTGCAGCGCACCAGCATGGCACATGTATACATATGTAACTAACCTGCACAATGTGCACATGTACCCTAAAACTTAAAGTATAATAAAAAAAAAATTAAAAAAAAAATTGCTGGTGACAGATTGTAAGTGTTCTCACCACACAAAAAATGATAAGTATGTGAGCTAATGTGTGTTAAATAGCTTGATTTAGCCATTTCATAATGTATACATACAGAAAAACCATATTGCACACCATAAGTATATACAACTTTTTTTTTTTTTTTTTTTTTTGAGACAGAGTCTCACTCTGTCGCCCAGGCTGGAGTGCAGTGGCAGGATCTCGGCTCATTGCAACCTCTGCCTCCTGGGTTCAAGCAATTCTCCTGCCTCAGACTCCCAAGTAGCTGGGATTATAGGTGCCCGCCACCATGCCTGGCTAATTTTTGTATGTTTAGTAGAGATGATGTTTCACCATGTTGGCCAGGCTGGTCTCGAATTCCTGACCTCAGGTGATCCACCCGCCTTGGCCTCCCAAAGTACTGGGATTACAGGTGTGAGCCACCATGCCCAGCCTACAACTTTTACTTGTCAATTAAAAAGTAAATTTAACAAAAGGAAAAGTAAAATTAACAGGCATTTTGCAAAACCTTTATATTGGGTTTATTTCACATTTGTATCAGTTCTTTATTCTGTTTTACGGTAGGAGAAAACTTTTTATAAATCTGGAAAAAAATATTTTTTTATATAATAGCAAAGCTTTAAGAATGTTAAAATGTAAATGGATGACTGATTAACTGTATATCAGTGTCAGCCAGTTATACATGATTTATTTTTATTAATTGTAGATAAATCTCACCATTATCTATACATGATTTACTTAGATATTTATATATTAATTATCTTGAGAAATATATAAAAGCTCTCATTAAAGAAAAATCATCAATTTTGTGTTAAGTGACAGTGAGTGCAAAGTATAGAGACTGTTAGAAATTGATAACCTTTGTGGTGCACCATAAATGGGATTAGCAGTGTCAGTGGTGTGGTTGTGACTGTTTTGCAAGTGGTCAGGGTTTGCTCATTGAGAAGGTAGAATATGGAGCCCACATTTAATGTGGTAAGGGATTTTGTCAAGTAAATATCCAGGGGAATAATCTTCCTGCAGAGGGAATAACTAAGAGTTATATAAAAACATTACAGGTATGTTCAAGGAATCGTAAGGTGTTCAGTGTGGCTAAAGCAACTTGAACTAGGGGGCAGTGATAGGAGAGGAAATGACAGGGAAGATGGTGGTGGCAAGGGAGATATTTGGAAAGGCCTTATAAGAAGCTACAATGGCCTGATTCCAAGTAAAACATGGAGACATGGCAGGCCTTTGCCTAGAGGCGTGAAATAATTTTACTTGGGTTTCTTTTTCTTTTCTTTTTTTTTTTTTGAGACACTTTCACTCTTGTTGCCCAGGCTGGAGTGCAATGGCCCGATCTCGGCTCACTGCAACCTCCACCTCCCGGGTTCAATTGATTCTCCTGCCTCAGCCTCCCAAGTCGCTGGGACTACAGGCTCGTGCCACCATGCCCGGCTAATTTTGTATTTTTAGTAGAGATGGGGTTTCTCCATGTTGGTCAGGCTGGTCTCTCACTCCTGAACTCAGGTGATCCGCCTGCCTCGGCCTCCCAAAGTGCTGGAATTACAGGCATGAGCCGCCACGCCTGGCCTTTTACTTGAGTTTTAATAGGATCGCTCTGGCTGCTATTGAGGATAGTACATATGGGGTAATGATGCAAGCAGAGACCTACTGTAGTACTCTTCAGGAGAGAATGGTGGCTTGCACAAGGATGGAAGCAATGAAGGTGGTGAAAAGTGGTCAGTTTCTATATTTATTAGGAAACACCTAGGATGATACCTTAATAGACCAAAATGTGAAATGTAAGAAAAATAGAGATGTCAAGATGACACAAAGATTTTTGGCTTTGACAACTGAAAGAATAGTTACTATCAACTGTGATTGGTAAGAATGCACATGGATCAGGAGTTCAGTTTTGGACGTCTTAATCTTAAGATGTCAATTAGATATCTATGTAGAGATGCTGAATGGGCAGTTGGATATAGGAAATTGGAGTTTGGGAGAGTGGTCCTGGCTGGAGATATAAACTTGGTAGTTGACAGCATATGGTTGTTATTTAAAGACATGAGACCGGTTATCACCAAAGAAATGAGTGTGTAGATACAAAAGGGAAGAAACCTTAGAGACCTCCAGCTTTTGGAGATCTAGGAGAAGGGAAGAAACTAGTCAAGGGGACTCAGGAATGGCTGTAAAAGTAAGAGGAAAACCTGAATGTGTGGTATCCAGGGAGCCAGGTGAAGAAAGCTAGCAAGCAGGGGGAAAGGATCAACTGGGTTAAATGCTGTTGATAGCATCAAGTAAGATGAAGAAATTGATCATTGATAAGGTAGTTTACTGACTTGTGAGAACAACATCAATATCCAAATGAAAGAAGACACTTAAATGCTATCAATAATAGACAGCTTAAGACTGGGAGTCACAATCTTATGGCCCACTGCCCACATGTAGACAGAGATGGGCTTTGAGAGGCAGTCTTTAGGAAAAAAAAATTGATTGTGAAGGCTATTGGGAGATATGTACTCTCTTATTAGCCATAGACCCATCATGTCATATTATTTTATATTTGAGGGTCTTTACATATTTATTATTTTCTTTTCGTTGTTGTTTTTGAGACTGGGTCCCACTCTGTCGCCCAGGCTGTAGTGCAGTGGTGCGATCAGGGCTAACTGTAGCCTCAACCTCCCAGGCTCAAGTAATCCTCCCACCTCACCCTTCTGAGTAGCTGGGACTACAGGCATGCGCCACCACACCTGGCTCATATTTATGATTTTTGCTAGGCTCCTGAAACAGCATGGCTGCCTTGAATTTGTGACCCCTGGTTATTAAGTGTGTTTTTGCTTTGGCACAGGAAAAAAATAAAATAGATGTAATTTTGATAGCACAGTTATTTTCATTATTATGTAGATGTATAAGAGACTTGGATTTCCAGCTCAGGATAATTGAATTTTTCATCCAAATTGATGTTCCTCTTCAAGGCCAGACATACTTTCTTTCTTCTATAAGGGTATTGAATGATAGACTTTTTGTTAGAACTCTTGGTTTGCTATTTGGCCTTTCCTAATCTCTCTTCAAAAAAGAGAGATCTGAACACAGAGGTTAAATGTCTTGCACAGCAAATGGCTAGCTGTGATATGACCAAGACTCTTAACTTCTCACTCAGCCCTGAAGATTATATTGGTCTTCTGATGTGAAGTTTACTGTTCTTTCTTTTATGCTATCTAGCCACTTGTTCAGTTAGCTTATTCATTAATCACCGATACATATGAGACATTCTATATTTATGCCAGTAATACATGTAAATTGCAGCCATTTTTAAAACCAGGAAATGCACTTAAATTGTGTGTTTAAATTTATCAGAATCACATATGGTGCTTTTTACCACTTATAGTAGTTTTTAAGATTATATTTATCCATATTACCTCCGTAATTATTTGTGATCAGGTTAGCTTAAGTGAAGAAAAGCCATATTAATGCTCCACTTTGGTTTTGAGATAACTACTGGTATTCAATCCATTATTCTTATCCATTAGAATTCCTCTTTTGTCCAGAAATTGTTCAACCCTTAGAATCAAGTATCTGTACTTCCTCATTTATGTTTCCCTCACTCCAAGTCTAAGTAGACACCATGTCTGCATCCTTTCCTGCCACACTACGGTTGTAGGAAATATATCTATTTAGATATAAGTTGCAAGAGTAAGAAGGTTAATTGTATAAAATTATCATAGAGTTGTAATTGAAAATCTCTTTTAACAAATAAAAAGAAAATCACTTCTAATTATATAGTCTGTTGGCCTCTTGTCATTGCTGTAGCATGGTTGTTTATTTTGTGTTTTTGCCCAGGTGCTTAATTCAGCCACTGTCAGTCTTACAAAAATAGATAACTGTACAAATAAAACAGCTTCTGACTAAGACTAGCTAATTTTCTTTATTGCTAGACCCAAATTATTTTCAATATGTTAAAGAAAGAAATACCCCAAACCACATTGACTTATAACTGTATCTATGCAGGATTTTGTTTCAATGGCAGTGTAGAAGGGGCAAAGACTTCTCTCTTGCTTTCTCCTTAGCTATGAGTGAACTGAGTCAATGAGCACATGTTAAGCATTTGTAGTGAATATCCTGATTTCCTAGTGATTCAGAAGTAGCAGGAACAGTCAGTCTCACTCATCACTCAAAGAGACCTTGAATTCATCTTCTCTTTTTTCTCATTTCTCCATGCCATAATTTACAATGTCATCACCCTTTCTCCTACATATGATCTAAAAAACTGGCATCTCAACCTAATTCCATCCTAAATCATACATGGCCAGCATAGTTTGTTTCCTTTATTAAACATTTGAATGTAATACCTGGGGGCAGGGTGAGTGTGCTGGGTTCTGCTTTAAATTTGCATGATTTCTGAGGCCTTCAAAAGCATTTGGATTTTTAAACCTTCCTTAGACAGTTGTAATCCAGGCTCCTAATTGTTTTCTCCTTCAAGTTGTAAATTGTCCCTGTCCAAATAACCCTCCACCCTTTCCCCAGATTCAGCAATCTAAGAAAACAGTTCTGATCGTATAACCCTCCTTTGTAAATCTTATTCACTTCTCTATTGCATGAGGGGTAAGATCCAAACTCTAACATGGCAGATGAGAAGTTTCATCACTCTGTTCCAGTCTGCTTTTCCCAGTCCGTTCTTTTCCACTTTTTGTTAACATCCTGCCTCCACAACATACACCAAGAGCTGCAGCAGAGCAAGTTATACCTAGTCCCGTTAGCCTGAGTGGTCTTTCGGGTCCCTTTCTTATGACTGTGCTTTTCTCTGCCTATACTCACTTTGACTTTCTCCCTTACCTGGAAAATGCTTATTCTTCTACTAAGCCCCAACTCATGTAATAATTCCTATGTGAAGAGTTTCCTGAGTCTCCGGGGAGGTTGATTGTTTTTCTGGGCTACCAATCACACTTCGCACATCTCTTCATTGTAACACTTACCATAATGTGTTTCAAGATTTATGTGTCCCTGCCTCACTTTGCTGTACAGGAAGCTCTGTGATAAGCATGGTTAGATCAAATTCATTTTTGTATTAACAACACCCAGTAGTGTCTGGCACATAATAGGTGCACAAGGGATGTTTCTTGAATAGGTGAAAGAGGAATCTCCCTATTTCTCCCTACTTATATTCTGTGGGCAGCTGCTATCCCCTTGCTGTCTGTCTGATCCTCAATCTCTTCCTCTTGTCCACTCAAACTTCCTCATGGTATTTTGCTTATTCATCTTACATCTTTACCCTCTGGTTTTTGAGATGGTGATAAAGACAGGGATCAGGGCTCAGGGCTCTGTGATTAATACTTCTAGACATCGCAGTTTGGTTTGGTGCCACCATCAATGACAGCAGCTGCTATCATTTTTCTCAGTTTCCAGGATTCTTCCAATATTTCAGGGCATAGCCTAATTCTAGACCTATCTCTGATGATTTGAGGTATATGATATGTGTAATTCAATACTTCATATCTGCATTTATTATTGTATATGAGCCTTCCACAAGGGCATTTTTGTCTGTTTAAAATGTAATAATAAATCAAATATGTTGAATTTTCTGTATATCTGAATGCATTGTAAAACTATTTTAATGGTGTTCGAGATAAAATTCAGACTGAACATATCATATACTAATGACATCATGTTAATATGCTTGTAACAAACATGAACAGGGTATCAGTTGTGAATAGATAACCATAATAAAATTCAGTAGGTTTGTTCTTGAGAGTGAGGTGTCACAAATTCTGTTTGGCAAGATATGGACTATGAAACTGGCAAAATTAGCCTTCTGGGGTTTAAATTAACCTATAACAATTTCATTGCTTAAGAATATTAAGGCAACTTAATACTTTTGTTAAAGTGTAAATGCAAGACAAGAAAGAGTAACGGCAGGCTGTTTTACTTTTTATATTGTCTTCTTTAATGTATTTCCGCTTTTCCTGCCTGCCAATGCCATTCATATTATATTCTTTTTACCGTGAAAATGGAGCATATAATTTTATAGATAAGGAAACAAAAGCTCAGAGAATAAAAATGGCTTGCTCAAAGAGACACAACTAGTTAGTAACAGGGCTGGGACTAAAATTCAGATCCCTTCACTCCCACACTAAGGACCTTAACATTATTATATGCTGTTCCCCTTCATTTGACTTGTTTTTCTAATGTTCAGAGTGTGTGCTGTTTTATTTACTGCAAAGAGATGCTCTGTTTCTCCATAAAGTGATTACAAATCCGTGGAGCTACAGTCATCATAGATGTTCCTACAAATAATTTAAAAGCAAAATATTGAAGTATGCCTTATCTTCACTGCCAATGAAATTATGACCAAATGGTAATTACTGAATAACAAAACAGTCATATAGCAACCAATCCAATTGTTTAATGCTATATCTAAAGGCAAACATTTTAAAAAGCAGTGAGTTAATACAATTTTCAAAAATTTGACTCATCAAGCTGTCTCAACAGTCAACAGTTTGAGGATTGCATCAAAAAATGGGCAGGCACTGATGAGATTACCAAATGATATCTTATCTTTAAATGCCCTAGTTTAAAATTAGCAAGAATACGTTTGGTGTCTAATTTCTGAGAAGTAAAAACAGCTTTGGCTGTTTACCCTAAGTTTAGGACAAAACTCAATTGAATGAAAGCAAGAAGTGGAGTAGAAATTTTAGCATTTTAAAAGCTGACAGCTCTAACCTGAACCAGAGTATTTATGTTATTAAAATAGTCTTGGAATCCTAGGTCAGGCAATTCCATCTTTCTGAACTGCCCTCTATACACTTCTCCACCAGCAATACTCAGCACTTCTTTCAAAGCAAAGGCTCTCAAGCTGACCCAAAGCAGGAATGTTTCCTTGACCAATCTATATCACATTTTAATGATTTCTCGACAGTATTCACAGCTCTTTCTAGCTCTGTATCTTTTGATGGATATCTTAGGGAAGTAATTTCAGCAAGTGACAATTTTAAAAAGCTGGAGGGTTTTTTCGTTTTGTTTTAGTTTGGTTTGGTTTTGAGACAGGATCTCGCCCAGGCTGGAGTGCAGTGGCATGAGCTCAAGCAATCCTCCTGCCTCAGCCTTCTGAGTAGCTGGGACTACAGGCTCACACTGGCTAAATTTTGTTGTTGTTTATAGTAGGGACAAGGTCTCACTACATTGGCCTTGCTGGTCTCCAACTCCTGAGCTCAACAGATCATCCCGCTGCGCCCTCCCAAAGTTCTGGGATTACAGGCATGAACCACCATGCCCAGCCCCAAACTGGAGATCTGTATAGAGCATTTTATGTTGCTTTGATGAAAGATATGTAACACATGTCAAATTATAAAACTGTATTACTACTTTTATATATTTAAAAAGAAAGAAATGAATAGCAGTTGAATTTAGTTAATTTGTCAATTCAGTAAATATCACTGAGTGTCTACTAGTTTTGAAGTCCTGTGTGAGGTTGTACACAGTGTATATATTTTATATATATATATATACTGAATATATATATATATACACTGAATATATATATATATACACTGAATATATATATATATACACTGAATATATATATATACACTGAATATATATATACACTGAATATATTTATATACACTGAATATATTTATGCACTGAATATATATATACATTGAATATATAAATATATATATATATATATATAGTGAGCAAGATTTGTTCTCATTCCTCAAGAAACTCACAGTACAGTGGCAGTCTTACATTTTGTAAATATTTAATAGCTAACTCGACAGTGCTATGACTGACAGGTTATGTGTGATTTTATCTCACTCCCCATTCAATCATTGAATGAAGAATTGATTAAGGAAAAAATGAAGGAGAACCAAGTTCCATCACACTGGTTCCTATCTGGGCTATGGTTTCAATTATTCAAGAAAAATTTGGCTTGTCCTTGCCGAAATTGTATATTCAACAAAGATTTATAGTTGTGGTTTCCTAAGTGCTCTGGAAGTCTACAATGATGCAGTATCTGGTTAAAAAAAATGTGGCTACCTGATAAGTCCCCCACTGCTTGCTGTTGCAAAAAAATGATTCATTAGAAAAAAAATGATTTGGAATCAGAAATTATAGGTTATTTTCTGGATCTACCACTTAACCTTTTATACCACTGTATTAGTCCATTTTCATTGTGCTGATAAAGACATACCTGAGACTGGGCAATTTATAAAAGAAAGAGGTTTATAGGACTTACAGTTCCACATGGCTGGGGAAGCCTCACAATCATAGTGGAAGGCAAGGAGGAACAAGTCACACCTTATGTGGATGGCAGCAGGCAAAAAGAGAGCTTGTGCAGGGTAACTCCTGTTGTTGTTGTTGTTTTCTTTTTTTTAGGTTTCAATATTTTATTCAAGTTTAAGTGATGTTAATTACAGCATTTGAAGGGGAGGATCTAATTCCACAGAAAATGGAAGACTCTAAAATGTACCCATTAGACTGCTAAAAAACAAATTGAAGGGTGAGAATATAACAGAAGTCCAATTTAGATTCTGAGTGTTGTCACCATGTGATTACAATCACACAGACGCTTCCAAGCTTATAGCTGGAGTTCCTGGAAGCTATTTCATACTCTAGTGCAAGGGCTAAAAAACACAACACAGGAAGGAATAAGTCCTGAATTATTGGCTTCATCACATCCACCCTCTCCACCCCAAAATGGCACAAAAGAAAGAGTGACCACACCCTGCAGACCTTTTGGTGTAAAAGAGGTAACGATGAACTGGGCTGGGAAAAGGTCATGAAGCTCTGTCTAAAAGAGTCCCATTCAGGTGAGTTTGTACACACCATCAAGCAGCAAGCCCCTCATCAGTTAGGGTTAGGAAACCAAGGTTCGATTCTCAGGAAATCACAATTTCATTCATTTACTCAATATGAACTTACAAAGCGCCTACATATTATCAGCTTCCACTTGCAGCCATTTCTAGAGAAAAAAGACACCTGGCATCTCAAAGTGGCTGCCAAGTTCCCCCAAGTCTACCACTGAAAGGGCCTTTTTTGGAAATGAGTTTCTTCTGTACCTCTGAAAGGGTAACATCTTAAAGCTGAATCATCTTTAACCTGGAGGGGTAACATATTTAGCAATACTTGCGTCCCAGACATACAACATTAAAAGATACACTAAATTCTGAAGGTAGCTATGCTGCAAAATAGTTTAAAATTAAACAATTGTACAGTATTCATTTATGCTTGAAATTCCAGTCCTAGACCAAGCTTGTGGCCACCAGCATTGACGTTCTTGCCATCCAGAAGAGCTGACAGTGTCAGTTTGATACCTGGCTTTAGGGTCTGAGTGTATCCTAAACCTATCAGGCTGGAGTTGTTCACTTTAGCCAAGAAGCAGGCTTCAGGGTCAATCAAATACTTGGCTGCTATTTTGAAATGCGTGTTACTGTTTCCTGCTTGTCCAGGTGAGATTGACAGCAGTCTCCAACTTCTTGTTCACTTTCTGGTAAATGAGGCCGCCAAACTCTGTCCCGTCATTCACATTAGTGTGAAATTGGAATTCATCAGTCTTGCAGCCAACTGCAAAGTTGCTCTGGGTCACTCCGGACTTTGCAGTCTCAAAATTCATCTGGTAGCCGGCCAGCCAGCCCTTGTAACCCAGCATCAGAGCAGCCCGGATGGAAGGCCCAGCAATGTCGAAATCTATGTTGCAGTCCAGGGTAATGTGCTCCTGCTTGTAACCTGTCTTGATTTTAGCATCTTTTTTCCCCCAGTCTTAGGTAAGAAGGATGAATCGAAGGTCAGCTTCAGTCCACGTGCAAGCTGATCTTCCACAGTAATCTCGGTGCCTAGTGTATTATCCGTGTTCTATTTCTCTGTAAACGTCAGGCCGTACTCAGTCCATCTGTACTTGGTTTCCAGACTGCCCGTCACTTTGGTGGTCTCAGTGTTGGCTGAGCCTGAGCTTGTAAATTCCAACCCATTCTCAGATTTTGTTTTCAAATCAAGCATTATTAAGCCAAATCCATAGCCCTTAGTGAAGACATCCCTGGCAGACTTGCCAAGATTGGCATACATGGGTGGCACAGCCATCTTATGCTTAGAGGTGGTGGCAGTGGGCTAGGAGGTGGCTATGGCCGGGGCTGCTGTGCGGAGGCAGAGAACTAAGTGGAGCCAGCTGCGGGGCCCAACTCCCGTTTTTAAAACCATCAGATCTCAGGAGACCCATTCACTGTCCGGAGAACAGTACGGGAAAGACCCACCCCCCTATTCAGTCATCTCCCATCAGTTCCCTCCCACAACATATGGGAATTATGGGAGCTACAAGATGAGATTTGGGTGGGGACACAGAGCCAAACCATATCAACCACCAATAAAGCCAATTTAATAAAATGAAGAATATATGTGTATGTGAAAAATACTATATGTTATAATCTGTAAACAAAACATATCATAGAAAATTGCTCATATTTATAGAGATATTTATTATATATGTAGACTGTGTTCTTATTGCGTTATTAATATCTAAAGTTACATTCGAAGTCTTTAGTTTAATCTGGAAAATCATCTCAATTTACTACTGCATACTTCATATGAAAATTGCTTTTCAGTTTTTTTACTACAAAATATACATCTGGATATCTGTAAGTCAATGATGTTCTTTAACCTTAGGATTATTATAGTATTATTTTTAAATCAGGGGAGACTTTAAAATAAAGTGAAATCTGTGTGGCATGACTGTCCTAATTTTTACTCTACCTTATTAAAACCGTTTTAATAGATTTTTACTCATTAGAATCATATCACTCCAGAGGTTTTCACTTTTTTAATAAATATTCTGCTAGCTTTTAGTTTCAACACCTATGTATTTATTCATTTTTATTAGTTTAATCTCTTTAAGAATATGTGTGAACTTTTGTCATAATGTTCTTTCCTTAGTTTTTTAAACATTATTTGGTACTGTTTCTTTAATCAATTTAAAGATAGTTCTTTTTATCTACTTAATGATTCTTAAAAGTTCTTGGAGTAACACCAGAGCTATTTGTTGTGGCTGTTGACTCTTTTCTACGGCAAATTTTGAACTCTGAGCTAATCTTCAGAGATAATTTATCTGTAGGAATCCTCTTCTGCCTGGATTGAACATTCCTCCTAGACAAGTTTTGAGTTTACCACTGCTAAGGCAACCCGGGAGTATTACCTTCTGGGGACCACTTTTTACTTTAATATTTTACTTTAGGTATCCGTGGATCATGTGAGTAGTATAAATTCAGACCATAACCTGTTAAAATGAAAATCTGCATTTATAAGTTCTCAGGAGAGCCCTTCTCCCGCCCCCCATCCAGAGACCAGACTAACATAGGCATAGTTCCTTGGAATCTCACTGTTCTGATGGCATTTTTTAAAATCCAACATATGTATGCTTCTTCAAAGTCTTGGCTTTGTTCAAGGGATCTCATTTCCAAATTCCCACTTCAAGTGAACCTAAGACCTTAGCCTTGTGCCTTGTGTTCTTTCCTTGCAATTGAATCACAGGCCCCTTGGTTTGAGGAACCATAAGTCCTCCCATAACCTGCACACCCGCCACCACAACATCATCACTAGGGCAACCTTGATGTCAGGACTTTTTTTGTGCTGTTCCTCTAAGGATTGCTTTCCTTTTCTTATGATCTAAGTAATACACATAAAGGAGTGTTGCTATATTTTCTTCAGCAGTTCTATGGGTTTTGTAGCAGGAGAGTTTTCTGGTTATTTTTCCATATTAACAGAAATGGAAATCTACTAGGTTTTACATGCTTAAAGTTTAATTTGTCAGGCCGGGTGTGGTGGCTCACGCTTGTAATCCCAGCACTTTGGGAGACCCAGGCGGGTGGATCACAAGGTCAGGGTTTCGAGATCAGCCTGACCAACCACCCCATCTCTACTAAAAATACAAAAATTAGCTGGGTGTGGTGGCGCATGCCTATAATCCCAGCTACTCAGGAGGCTGAGGCAGGAGAATTGCTCGAACCCGGGAGGCGGAGGTTGCAGTGAGCTGCGATCGTGCCACTGCACTCCAGCCTGGGTGACAGAGTGAGACTCCGTCTCAAAATAAATAAATAAATAAAAATAAAAAATAAATAAAAAGTTTAATTTACGACATTCAGGGAAAACCATACTCAAACCCTATTTTTCCCCTGGAGGCTTTGCATTCTTCAAAGAACATTGCCATATTCCAACTGAAATGGAGATTTTGCTGAGATTTTTGTTTGTTTTTGCTTATATCCGGACTTAACTTTTAAATACAACCTTCTTGTCTTCTTTCCTGTCTTCCAAACTCATGGATTTACCATTTCACAGGGAAAGGGTATGCTTTATAAAACGAGCAGAAATCCACATCTAGCTTGAAATCTACTTCATAGGAAACTTAAATTAATTCAGAATAAAACTAAGCCAAATGCTAAGTTAAATGCTAGTATGGAAAATTGTCTTTTTAAAATGCATCTTTTTTTAAAGAGCTTGAAATGTCTGGTAGAGACGCATAATTCTTTCACGGAAGGGTTTCATGAAGCACAGATGTTTTTCAGCCTCCCACGGGGATATATACCACCACAGTGAGGACAACAGATGCCTCTTCCCTCACTTTCCTATCTGGCTTCATTCCTTATGAATCTATTTCTTTTAGTGATTAGCTCAGAGAAGCTTATTTCAGCACAGTTAACCTCAACCCCTTCTTGAAAGTAGATTTTATGGAATGAGGTAAGGAAGAAATAGAACAACTCATTTAAAAATTCTGGCAGTTTCAACTGCCAATTTTTGGGGGATACCATTTTCAATTATACCCACTAAAATAGTAAATATCTAAGAATTCAAAGTAGTTTAGAGAAATAAAGTTAATAAAGATTTAATTGAATTATAAATGTGCTAACTTTCTATTAAATTATGTATGAATCAACCATTTTAAAATTCATTCTTTATGTATGTCACTGATACTATGTTAGTGTCAAGATGTAGCAACTGAGCCATATTTATGTGTATGTAAGTTTTCTATTGCTGCTGTAACACGGTATCACAAATTAGTGGCTAAGAACAACACAAATCTATCATTTTATATTTCTGAAGGTTAAAGGCCCAACAGAACTCAGTGGACTAAAATCATGGTGACAATAGGTTTATTTCCTCTGGATCCTTTAAGGGAGAAGCCATTTCCTTGCCTTTTCCACCTTCCTTGGCTCATGTCTCTTCCTCCATCCTCAAAGCGACTCTGCATTTCTCTCACCCTTCTTCACCTCATGTCTCCCTTTGACTAGATCTGGGAAATGTTGTCCTTTTTTAAGCACTCATGTGATTAGATTGGGCCCACCTGCCTAACCCAGGTCCTTGAGTCTCTCCATCTCAAGGACCTTAACCTTAATCACATCTGCCAAGGTCACTTTTGCTATGTGAGATAACATAATCACAGGTTCTGGAATTGGAGCTCAGACATCTTTGGGGGCCATCATTCTGTCTTACTATGTTGTATGTAATTAAAACCTTGCTCTCAGCTGTCTAAAAGTTTGCCTGAGCAAATGAATTGGCAATGTATTCAATCCAATTCACTCCCTAATATCATCATGATAAAAAATTAACTGAAATATTTTAGATAGGGCCAGGCCAAAAATGAAAATTGTCTCCTACAAAAGGAATGATTTAACATTGTCTTTTTTGAAATGGAGTCTTCCTCTGTCACCCAGGCTGGAGTGCAATGGAGTGATCTCAAGTGACTGCAATCTCTGCCTCCTGGGTTCAAGAGATTCTCCTGCCTCAGCCTCCCAAGCAGCTGGTATTACAGGTGCCTGTCACCATGTCCAGCTAATTTTTGTATTTTTAGTAGAAATGGGATTTCACGTTGTCCAGGCTGGTCTGGAACTCCTGACCTCAAGTGATCCACCTGCCTCATTCTCCCAGAGTGCTGGGATTACAGGCATGAGCCACCACACTTGACCCAGACATATTTCTTCTTAATCAAATAACATTAAATTGGGTTATATTATTAAACTTAATGAGTGTCTACTGCTTACCTTATGTCTGGATGACAATGGACAGGTGCTTATTTATTTTAAATCTACTCATTATTTATATAAAAGCTTTATAATTTCTCAGGTTGGTATTTTTTAAAGTTTGTATTTAATTTATATTACAAATGATTCATACTACCCACTATGAAGATTTTACATTGTATGATGGAAAAATGCTTCATACATAATTTGCCTATAATAAATATTAGGAATTTTATGGAAACATTCATTTTCATTTTGAGAAATACAACAAGAGTCATTAGAAAAAAAGAGAAACAAAATGTTTGAAACAAGTATTACCATGAAGTGACTTTTTTTTTTTTTTTGCATTTCACAAAATGCACAAAATTTGTGTTAAGGTTCATTTTGAAAGACCCAATGGTCTTTCCAAAATAATGGTCTATTAAAAAACTATTGAAAATTATTTAAAAACTGTAAAAAACTCTCACAAAAATAATTTTATCTGGAGAGAAACCATTCTTATTCATCTTTGTATCTCCCATGATATAATGGCACTTTTGTTGTTGTTTTTTTCATTTATGAGCTGTGAGGATATCAAAGCCAATTCTTTTTAGAAGTTAAAATTTTAAAATTTAAAACCAGAGAAAAATCTTGGAATGGAATATACCTGTATTATAGTATAGAGCTATGTTCTTTTGATGAGCAATACTATAATACATAGCACTATTATTATAATATTAGATTAATTTTCTGTGTGAAGTCGGCTCCTTTCTCTTCCCTTTCCTCTCTTTTCTTCTATTGTGTCTCTCCTTTTTCTTTCCCTTCTTTCCATTCCTCTCTTTGAATCTTCTATGTTCTCTTCCTCTTTTTTCCATATCTAGTCCTCCCTTCTCCTCATACTGAAGTAATTCAAAATCTGCTACTAGGAATTGTTCAGTTAATATATCTTAAGACATGTGTCATGTTGACATATATTGTTAACTTAATGTGTCTTCCTCTTTGCTGAGGGATATGTTGTCTTAATCTTTTTTTCCCCCAAACATTGCAATTTACTTCTCTCTCTCATACAAATAACCATAAACTAGTTATAGCAATCAATTCGCATGCAGTAATTACATTACCTATGATAATTATAATATGTGTCACCTGGACCTGTATTTGTTTTAATGGGAATCAATAATTCTCAAGTGGGCAGAAGTGTGTAGCTGATTATGTGTTCAGGTGATCAGAGATTAGGCAGCATTTGATTAAATGAACTGCCTGGATATTTTGCAATTACTTTTGATCAGTCTGCTATGGCCACTGCTCCTGGCTGTCATGTGATGCAGTTGTCGAACACTAGTCTTACATACTGTGGTAGAGGACACAGACCAGTGTAGATCCGGAACTCAATACAATCGCTTAGGGTTCTTCCAAAGAGAATGATTATACTACTCACTGTGAATAAGCTCAGCTGTCCAAGGCTACCCATTCTTGGGCTTCCAAGAATTCACTTCTTGATTCAAATATATATCCATTTCACAGGGGACCAACTGGCTGAAGGAACCCTAAATTGGGTTTGGTTTTCTGCACCTATTACCTTATATACCCAGACTCTCCATCACCTTCACTATCCAGGAATCTGCTACTAGGGTTTAGGCAGGTTTTCAAACCACAGTGGGCCTGATGAGAACCTGTTTCATTGGACAGTGTTTATCACACATCCTTCAGAGGGAGGCTACCTGCTGTGATACTAGAAGGCCTCAAGAAAGTCCATCCTTCCTGATTCAATGTTGCTTACACTTCTTAAGTAAAAAAAGCTACTGTCATTGGATTCCCAACATTTCTTGTGAAAAAAAAAAGAAAAGAGAAAGAAGAAGAAAAGAAGGCCAGGCTCGGTGGCTCATGCCTGTAATCCCAGCACTTTGGGAGGCCGAGGCGGGCAGATCACGAGGTCAGGAGATCAAGACCATCCTGGCTAACATGGTGAAACCCCGCCTCTGACAAAAATATAAAAAAATTTGCCAGGTGTGTTGGTGGAAGCCTATAGTCCCAGCTACTCGGGAGGCTGAGGCAGGAGAATGGCGTGAACCCAGGAGGCGGAGCTTGCAGTGAGCCCAGATCGTGCCACCACACTCCAACCTGGGCAACAGAGCGAGACTCTATCTCAAAAACAACAACAACAAAAAAGAATAAGAAGAGAAAAGCCAAAGGAAACAATACAGAATGTAAATTTAAGCCCATGTGGGAGGTAGTGGCATGAACCCTAACTACAGTTATGAAAAAAAATGGTTGTATATCTAATCAATTTACGAAATTTTGATTTCAAATGCATATTAGCATAGTCAATGTTCTGAGAAGTCCTTACAAAAAAATAGATTTAACTGTATTCATTCAGCTTCTTGGATCTGTAGGTTTGTGTTTTGTTTGCCAGATTTGTAAATTTTTCATCTATTATTTCTTCAGATACCTTTTTAGCCCTACCCTCTTTCTTCTCTCCAGAACTCTGAAGAAATGAACATTAGATCTTTTGTTATAATCCTACACGAACTTCAGGCTCTGTTAATTTTTTTATAGGCTATTTTCTTTCTGTTGTTCAAATAGATTAAATATGATTTTTTTCAATTTCTTTGATTCTTTCCTCTCCAAAAGATTCTCTGATCTTTTCCTCTCCAGAATGGTCCTCTCCATTCTGCTGTTAAACCCATCCACTGAGTTTTTATTTTTGTTATTGTATTTTTTATTTGAGTTTCCATTTGATTCTTTTATAATTGATCCATTATGATTATACAGTTTTATAGGGTACAATTTTATGTTTTGATACATCTATAGGTTGTATAATGATCAAATTAGGATATTTAACATATTTGTCACCTCATACATTTATCATTTGACTCTTATTTATATCTTTTGTTTTTTCTGGGACTTTCCATATCTTTGCAGAAACTTTCTATTTTTTTTTTTTCATTTGTTTCAATGTGTTTGTGGTTGCTTGTTGGGAGATTTTTATGATGGCTGTTTTAAAATTCTTCCCAAATAATTCTAACAATTCTGTCATTCTGGTGTTGGTGTCTGTTGCTTGCTTTATCACTTTTACATGGAGATTTCCCTGCTTCATGGTAGGATGAGTGATTTTCAATTGAAATCTGGACATTTTCAGAATTTTGTTATGAAACTCCAAACTTCATTTAAATTTTCTGCTTTAGTAGGCCTTATCTGACACCACTCCAGTGAGAAAGGGGGCACTGCCTCATTATTTCCAGGGATAGCGGAAATCCCAATTTCCCACTCAACTTCTGTTAACACACAGGAGGTGCAGGGGCTCCTACTTACTGCTAGGTGGGGCTAGGGTATACCTTTTTTCTACTAGGCCTCTGCTGTTATCTGTTGTAGGGAATGGCAGAGTGGCCTCATTACTACTCACTACGTGGCCTCCCTGAACTCTGGGGGGCTAGCCTCACTACTGTTGTGCTGAAGTGAGGGACCTGACTTTTCACTAAGTCTTCTCTGATACCATCTACTCTGGTGGGGAGGAAGAAGGGCACCTCCTTACTACAGGGTTGTGCCTGGCAATAAATTTTGGGTTCTCCATTCAGCTTTGCACCTGAAAGGGGGAGTTGCTTGTCATTGCTAGCTTAAGATGGGAGCTCTGGCTTTCCACTAGGTCTCCACTGATACTTCCTTGGCCGAGAAGAGTAAGAGTGACTAATTGCTACTTTCTGCACAATCTTCTCTGATATCAACCTGAAGCGGGGGCTGGGGGCTAAGGATCCTTGTTACAGTTTGGCAATGGTAGAAGTCTACACCCTCCTCTTGGCTGGTGTGTGTTGGGTGGGGCTGCATTTTTTTCCTGTGGTGTTTGGCTGGAGTTAAAAAGTTATCATCTAACATTCTCTCCCTTGGTAAGCTGTCTCTTTCCAGGACGTTTGGCTACTGAGAACAGGCTTTTGTTAAGACTTTCTTTTTTTTTTTTTTTTTGGTCTGTTGGTGCTTCCAGGTTACTGGCTTTTCCAGTACCCAGTCTGGGATACATAAGGCAAAAAGAAAACCCAGGGAGCTCACCATCATGTCTTTCCTTGAGTTCTGAGGTCTCTGGCCAATGTCTGGCTTTCTCTTCACACTGTGTTTGCAGAAATCACTTTCTCTTAGACGTTCCAAGGATTTTTTCTCTTTTTTGTTAATCCTATTTAATTCTTTTTTTTTTTTTTAAGTATGTATCTTGGTGTTGGTAATTCTGGATTGATGTTCTCAGGAACTTGGTGTGTTATTTCAATATGTTGTTTCAATTTTTTTTTTAGTTTGCATTTGTTCAGTTATCTTGTTATTGATTTCTTCCTCAGTGATTCTTGTGATTTATATGTTGACTTGCGTTTACATGCTTTCAACATTTGACACTTTTTATTAAATCATTATCATATTTTTTAATTTCTTTTTTTTTGCATGTCAAGAAATTTCCTCTGTTTGACCTGTATCTGTTTTGTTTCTTTATTTGTCTATTCCTTTGAATTTAGAAGGAACATTTTTGAAATTAATTTTTTCTTTTATTTCCAATTGTTTTGTTAGTTGTCACTTAAGTTTTTTTTTTAACAATATCTAACTCTGCTTTATATTGCTCTTTCACGTATTGTATAATTTTCTTAATGTCTGTTAGCTTATTTTTAAATAGTAAGTATTCATTTTAATCAATTTTTATGAGCTGGAGGGATGCTATTCTGCTCCTTATTTTTTTTTTAAATCTTATAGTAACTTATGTGAGATTGTCCTCAATAATATTCCATTGCTCATGCTTATGTACAATTAGGTTTCTTAAACTTCCAGATGAAGGCAAGATAGTTTTGTAGTTTTGTCTTGGTGTAGTGCCTTGCTCTAGAAGGAAGCCCTGGCTAGTCATTTTCAAATGTATATCAATCTACACTACTGTAGTCGCTTCAGTCATAAAAGCTGACCCCTTGAGCTCACTGACTTTTGGAAGGGGCCAAACGCCTCTCAATTTCAGTTACTTTCTCGACTTTGCCTACTGTGCTTTCCTGTGAACACTTCTTTGCTATTTTGGCATTCTTGTGTTTTCAGGTTCAGCCACCCTATTGTGCCTCTCTGCTCATTTCCACACTGACCTTGATAACGTCCTGGTCTTGTGGCTATGGGTGGTGTTTTTCTCCACCACTTGTGTTTTAAGAATCATGAGAACACCTTGTCACCTAGTGCAGTTGTAAATATTGTCTCTGGTTTTTTGGTGTTGCTGTCAGGTTGCTCTGTTTCTCTAAGGAGATTCTGGGAGTTTCAAAAACTGCCATCACCATCATCTTCTCAGAATCATCTTTTATTACACTTAGTTTGCTCACAGCTTGAGAAAGATTATCTTGTTTTGGACTCTCAACAGCCTTATGGGGCAATTATTTTTATTATTTCTATATTTTAGATGAGACAACTGAAGCTAAGTTAAACACAGCTAATATGTGGTGGAGCAAGGACTTAGGTCTGGTAGAAATTAAATCTTATGCTTTTAACTATCAGATATCGCTTCACTACTGGTGTAAATGGGGTGTAGTTTGGGGCAGAGTTTGGGAGGAATAACCTATGTTTTTGAATTAAATAATTTTTCCTTAAGTCCAACATTTAATGAGCACTTACAATATGCTAGCTATTGGGTGTAGCCTTGGAAATACAAGAGTGAAAAAAAGTGATGAGATTCTTGTTATCAAGAAGCAATAAAAATCATTAAATCAGGAGATAGCATTGGCCACACAGGTTGTACCAATATTCATTTGCATGCATAACTAAGCATTTTGAAAACCAGTTTAGATCTGTGTGCAAAGAAGAACATAACACACCAAGGTGAAATTTGTTGAAGTTTAGAGTCCTTTCAGATTAACAAGTTTGCAAAATCTGTGTTCTCTTTAATTAGTTTCCCAATGTGATGTGTTAACAGTAGACTGGTTTATATTTTATTAAAAGTAATTTTGAACATATATTACCTAGTGCTTTCAGCGGATGAACAGAAATTGGAAGAGTATATCCTTTATTAACTTTCTCCTCACCTGTAAGGCTGTGTTTTATTTCAAAAAATAGAAAAAAGCTGCTATGACTATCACTGTTTTGAATCATCCTTTTATAGATGAGAAGCTGCAAGTTCAATGAATATTATACATATTTTTAAAAATATTAAGCTATGAATTGTGCTAAAATTCATGTTAGACTCTTGGCTTTTTTCTCCCCCTCCTTTAGAGAAAGAGTTGGAGGTTAGGGATGCCTCTACATTAAAGTTGTGTTTCTGGGAAGTAATAAATTTAGAACTGATGAAATTAGAAAAACCTAATTTTCTCAGGGCCTGAAAATCTGCAGGAAGACTGACAAAACTGCTTTAAAAGGCTGCTTTCGGGAAATAAAAAGAAAGGGACCTGTTAGGGTCTTCTTCCGTTCCCCTTGGCTGCAGGAGTAATGCTTCTTTCTGGTAATTGGCCTGACTTCATTTACACTTACATTTATTATTAATGTCAAGAATAACATTTTCTGCTGCTGTGCTTGTTCCATGTAAACTGATCCTCTACAGCATTTTGCCAATCATTATACAGTGCTTGGTTTTTTTTAAGTTTTTCTTGGTGAAGGCGGCAGAGGAATAATACAGTATTTTATGTCAATAACAACCTCTTGTTTTTCTTTCTTCCAGCTTTATGAGGTAAGATTTAACAAATAAAAATTGTATAAATTTAAGGTATACATTGTTATGTTTTGATACACATATACATTGTGAAATGATTACCACAGTAAAACTAATTAACATGTAAATTACATCACATATTTACCTTTTTGTGTTTGTGGTGAGAACACTTGAGATCTGCCCTCTTAGCAAATACATTACGTCTCTAGAATTTATTCCTCTTCTAACTGAAAGTTTGTACCCTTTCACCAACTTCTTCTCATTTTCCTCACCCTCCCAGCCCTTGGTAATGACCATTCTGCAATCTGTTTCTGAGTTAGAATTTTTAGATTTCACGCTAAGAGAAACAATGTACTATTTCTCTTTATGTCTCTAGATTATTTCATTTAGTATAATGTCCTCCATGTTCATCAATGTTGTCACAAATATCAGGATCTCCTTGTTTTTAAGGGCTGAATAATATTCCATTGTATATATACATTACATTTTCTTTATTCATTTATATATTGATGGACACTTAGGTTGCTTCCATATCTTGGCTATTGTGAATAATGCTGCAAAGAACATGAGAACGTAGATATCCCATTAGCATGGTGATTTAATTTCCTTAGGAAATTCCCCAGAAGTGGGATGGCTGAATCACATTGTAGGTCTATTTTCAAGGTGTCGAGGAACATCCACACTGTTTTCCATAATGGCTGTACGAATTTACATCCCCCCCCCACAGTTTACAAGGGTTCCCTATTCCCCACATCTTTGCTAACAATTGATGTTTTTACTGTTTTTTATAATAGCCAATCTAACAGGTAATGGAGTAATATTTCATCATGGTTTTAATTTGCATTTCCCTAATGATTAGTGATGTTGCACACATTTTCATGTGCTTGTTAGCCATCATTTTTTTGTCTTTGCAGAAATGACTATTCAAGTCTTTTGCATATTGTTCATTGGATTATTCGGTGTTTTATAATCTTTTAAAAGTATTTAGTTGTATGAGTTAGTTATATATTTTAGATATTAACCCCTTATCAGATATGTGATTTGTAAATATGTCCTCCTATTCTGTAGGTTGCCTTTTCATTTAGTGGTTTCCTTTGCTATGCAGAAATGTTTTAGTTTAATGTAGTTCCAATTGTTTATCTTTGCATTTGTTGCCTATTCTTTTGGTGTCACGTTAAAAAAGAAAACAAAAAAACAAACAAAAAAAACACTGCTGAGACAAATGTCAAGGAGCTTTCCTCTGTTTTCTTCTAGGAATTTTACAGTTTTATGAGTTATATTTAAGTCTTAATCAGTTTTGAGTTGATGTTTGTGTGTGATGTAAGATAAGAGTCTATCTTTCTTCTTTTTGAATATGGATATCCAGTTTTCCCAGTGCCACTTATTGAGGAGACTATGCTTTCCCTATTGTGCATTCTTGGTACCTTTCTTGAAGATTACTTAACTGTCTATGTGTGGGTTTATTAATGGACTCTATTCTGTTCCATTGGCCTATGTGTCTGTCTTTATGCCAGTACCATACTGTTTTAATTACTATAGCTTTGTACCATAGTTTGGACTCAAGTAGTGTAATGCCTCCAGCTTTGTTCTTCTTCCTCAAGAGTCTTTTAGCTATTCTGAGGTTTTTGTGGTTCCATATGAATTTTAGAGTTGTTTGTGTTCTATTTCCATGAAAAATGCTATTGGGATATTGATAGGAATTGTATTAAGTCTGTACATTGCTTTGGATATCATAGACATGGTAACACTATAAATTCTTCCAATCTAAGCACATGGGGTATCTATTTATTTGTATTATCTTCTTTTTTTTTTTTTTTTTTTTTTTTTTTGAGGCCGAGTCTCACTCTGTCGCCCAGGCTGGAGTGCAGTGGCGCGATCTTGGCTCACTGCAAGCTCCACCTCCCAGGTCCATGCCATTCTCCTGTCTCAGCCTCCCAAGTAGCTGGCCCCCGCCACCACGCCTGGCTAATTTTTTGTATTTTTTAGTAGAGACGGGGTTTCACCGTGTTAGCCAGGATGGTCTCGATCTCCTGACCTTGTGATCCGCCCGCCTCAGCCTCCCAAAGTGCTGGGATTACAGGCATGAGCCACAACACCTGGCCTTTTTTTTTTTTTTTTTTTTTTTGAGACGGAGGTTCAGTCTCCTCACCCAGGCTGGAGTGCAATGGTGCAATCTCGGCTCCCTGCAATCTCCGCCTCCCCGGTTCAAGTGATGATTCTCCTGCTCAGCCTCCCGAGTAGCTGGGATTACAGGTGCCCACCACCATGCCCAGCTAATTTTTGTATTTTTAGTAGAGACAGGGTTTCTCCAAGTTGGCCAGGCTGGTCTCGAACTCCTGACCTCAGGTGATCCACCTGCCTCGGCCTCCCAAAGTGCTGGGATTACAGGTGTGAGCCACCACGCCCAACCCTTCTTCATTTTTAAAAATCAATACTTTACAGTTTTCAGTGTACAGATATTGTACCTCTGTGGTTAACTTATCCCTAAGTACAGTTGACCCTTAAACAACACAGGTTTGAACCACACAGGTTTACAGATACATGGTTTTCTTTCACCTCTATCAGACCTGAGACAGGAAACCAAACCCCCACCTCTTCCTTCTCCTCTTCAGCCTAATTTATGTGAAGATGGTAACGATAAAGAGCTTTATGATAACCCACTTCCACTTAAGGAATAGTAAATATATTTTCTCTTTTTATGATTTTCTTAATAACATTTTCTTTAATCTAGCTTACTTTATTGTAAGAATACAGCATATGATACACATAACATACAAACTATGTGTTAATCAACTGTTTATGTTATCATCAAGGCTTACAGTCAACAGTAGGCAATTAGTAGTAAAGATTTTAGAGTGTCAAAGGTCATATGTGGATTTTCAACAGCATGGAAGTTAGTGCCTCTAACCCCCATGTTGCGCAAGGGTCCAGCTGTATTTTTTAAAATTTATTGTTAATTGTATTGTCTACTTAATTACTTTTTTAATAGTTAGTTGTTAGTATATAAATTCGCAACTGGTATTTTTATGTTGATTTTGTGTCTTGCAGCTTTATTGAATTCCTTTATTATTTCTAACAGGTTTTGGTGAATTGTTAGTGTTTTTACACAAGGTCATGTCACCTGCAAACACTGAAAATTTTACTTCTTTCTGATTTGGATGTCTTTTTTTTTCTTGTTTAATTTTTCTGGCAGGGACTTCTAGTACTATGTTGAATAGAAGTGGCAAAGGAGACATCTTTGTCTTATTCCTTATCTTAGAGGAAAAGTTTCAAATTTTCACTGTTGAATAGAATGTTAGCTGTGGGTTTGTCTTACAAGATTCTTATTATGTTATGTTGAGCTATGTTCCTTCTATATCTAATTTATTGAAAGTTTTTAATGATAAAAGTATGTTGAATTTTATCAAATTTTTTCTGCAACTATTAAGATGATTATATGATGTTTGTCTTTCATCCTGTTAATGAGTTGTATATTTATTGATTTGTATATGTTTAATCATCATTGCATTCCAGAAATAAATCCCACTTGATCATGGTGTATGATCTTTTTAATGTGCTGCTGATTTCAGTTTGTTAGTATTTTGTTGAAGATATTTGTATCAATGTTTATCAGGCATATTGACTATAATTTTTTTTATAATGTCCTTGTCTGGATTTGGTAACAGGGTATTGCTGGTCTCATAAAGTGGTTTTGGAGGTGTTCTCTCCTCTCTTCAGTTTTTAAAAGAGTTTGTGAGGGATTGCTTATATTGTAGTTTTGCTTTAAATATTTGGTAGAATTCACCAATAAAGCCATCTGTTCCTGGTGTTTTCTTTGTTAGATTTTTGATTACTGATTCAGCCTCCTCATGTGTAATTAATCTGTTAAGATTTCCTATTTCTTTTCTCGTTTCTTTTTTTTTTCTTGAGACAGAGTCTCATTCTGTCACCCAGGCTGGGGTGCAGTGGCACAATCTTAGCTCACTGCAACCTCTACCTCCCAGGTTCAAGTGATTCTTCTGCCTCAGCCTCCTGAGTAGCTGGGATTACAGGCTCCCGCCGCCATGCCCTGCTAATCTGTGTATTTTTAGTAGAGACGGGATTTCACCATGTTGGCCAGGCTGGGCTCGAACTCCTGACCTCAAGTGATCTGCCCACCTCGGCCTCCCAAATTGCTGTGAATACAGGCATGAGCCACCGCACACAGCAAGATTTTCTATTTCTTCATAATTCTGTCTTGGTAAGTTGTATGTTTCCAGAAATTAATCTATTTCTTCTAGTTATTCAATTTGTTGGTGAATAATTCTTCATAGTAGCCTCTTAAGATTCTTTGTATCTTTGTGGTATCCGTTGTAATGCCTGGTCTTTTAGTTCTGATTTTATTTATTTGAGTCTTCTCTTGTTTTCTTAGTCTAGCTAAAAGATTGATAAAATTTGATAAAATTCAACATACTTTTATCAATTTTGTTTATCTTTGCAAAAAAAAATCCTCTTAGGTTGTGGATCTATTTGACTCTATCAATCATCTTTATTGTTTTTTTATCCTATGGTGGTATTTGTTAATTCTACAAAAGTCTGAAATAATTTTGCTATATGTTAACTGTAGTCTTAGTCCATCCAGACTAACCATTTCTCTATGATATATTCTACCATGTTGAACATTATATTTATACATTTATTTGTTTGTATTTAATTGTCCTTTTATGTAATTTTTTCCTCTCCATCCAAATTATAAGCTCCTATAAGGTGGGGCTCGTGTGTTATATTTTCCAATATTGTCACTATGCCGAATACAGTAGTAAGCATTCAGTACATATTCAGTAAATAATCTATTTCCTGATTGATAGTATGTTTGCATGTTTCTTTTCCTTTTATTTTATTTTTTTTGAGACAGTCTCTCACTCATCTCCTAGGCTGTAGTGCAATGATGTAAACACGGCTCACTGCTGCCTCAACCTCCCCAGCTCAAAGGATCCTCCCACCTCAGCCTCTCAAGTAGCTGGCACTACAGGCATGCCCCACCATGTCCAACTATTTTTAAATTTTTTTTGTAAAGATGGAGCCTCACTGTGTTGCCCTGGCTGGTCTCAAACTTCTGGGCTCAAGTGATCCTCCTGCCTCAACCTTCCAAAGTGCTGGGATTACAGACATGTGCCACCATCCCCAGCCTTAATAGTATGTTTCTGTAAAAGAGCAATACAGTAACATTTCAGTTAACTGGTATGTTGGCAACAAATTTATTTTGATTAATGGATTTTCCATTTAACAGTTTTTATTGTTTTATTCAGTGCAGTTCTTTAAAGTGGGTTATTCCCTGCCTAGACTAGTGGGATCAACCACCAAAACCTTCAAATATGTGCATTGATATTTGTTTACACTCTTAATTCTGTTATTTTTTGGAAGACACCTATGTTTCTCATGAAACTTCAACCAGAGCAATATGTCTGGAAAGAGGCCACATGAAAATGTTCAAAATTGTTACTAAAAATGTTACATAAACAGCATAAACTTAGAAGAAAAAATAAAATATTTACTCTGAAATTTGTATGGTTTAAAATAATAGAGTCAGTAGAGCTTTATAAAAAAATGACAGCTTCCTACTTTTTAATTGAAGAATAAACATATAACACTGGCTATACTAGATGGAGAGACTCAGAGGTAGTCATGGAATCAGATGGTGAGAAGAATGACCCATTTGTAATAACTAATCTCATTGCTGGTGTTTATTCCAACAATCTAGCATGGCATATTTTTCTTTTTCATTGTTTCTTCTTTATCCCTACCAAACTGTATGTCCCTGGATTAAGGCTACATGAATAGCTTCACGGCTTGCAGCAGTTCAGAGTAAGCAGGTGTAAAGGGACAGCCTTAAAATAGGAGTCTAATTTTTAAAATGGAAATATAACATTGGCTTTCGTCGTCTTAGCTGGCAAAGTAACTCTAGGTTAATGACTGAAGAAATGGTGTTTCACTATGTATGGGGGGTTTAAAAACATGAGTCAACTGGCAGGCAGACAGATTCTACTCTCACTAGGTAAGAAAGTAACGATTATATATGACCAGGGCTGGATCATACAAACCCTACCCTGAAGTTATACTCCTTAATTAAAGTAATTAATGAATGTTATTATGACTTTAGTGTAAATTGAATGTTTCACCTGAAGATATCAAACAGACCACATTTGAGTCCAAATCTTTAGTTCTTTTGGATTTATATTAATTCCTTTGTTCCATTTTCACATACGGATTTGCCAAGGTGCCACTGGACTGGGTTCTGGTTAACCGAAGTATTACAGCATACAATGAAATAAAATAGTATTTAATATATTACATATTTAGTTTCTATTGTATTTAAAGTTATACCTAAGTACATTCTTATTTCCTTTTAAAAAATTATTTTTGTGGGTACATAATGAGTGTATATATCTATGGGGTACATGAGATTTTTTGATACAGGCATGCAATGTGAAATAAGGATGTCATAGAGAAGGGAGTATCCATCCCCTCAAGCACTTATCCTTCAAGTTACAAACAATCCAATTAAAAATTTTAAGTTATTTTAAAATGTACAATTAAGTTGTGATTGACTATGGTCACCCTATTGTGCTACCGATTAGTAGTCTTGTTTATTCGTTCTAACTATATTTTTACCCATTAAACATTTCACCCTCACCCAAGCCCCCCATTACCCTTCCTAGTCTCAGGTAATCATTCTTCTACTCTCTATCCCCATGAGTTCAATTGCTTTGATTTTTAGATCGCACAAATAAGCGAGACCATGCCATGTTTGTCTTTCTGTGTTTGGTTTATTTCACTTAACATAATGATCACAAGTTCCATCCATGTTGTTGCAAATGACTGGATTTCTTTATTTTGATGTCTGAATGGTATTCCATTGTGTATATCTATGACATTTTTTAAATCCATTCATCTATTGATGGACACTTAGGTTGCATTCAAATCCTGGCTATTGTGAACAGTGCTGCAATAAACATACGAGTGCAGAAATCTTGTTGATATACTGATTTCCTTTCTTTTGGGTATATACACAGCAGTAGGATTGCAAGATCATATGATAGCACAATTTTTAGTTTTTTGAGGAATCTCCAAACTATTCTCCCTGGTGATTGTACTAATTTCCAATCCCAACAACTGTATATAAGAGTTATTTTTTCTCCACATCCTCCCCAGCATTTGTTATTGCTTGTATTTTGGATATAAGCTATTTTAACTGGGGTGAGATGATATCTCATTGTAGTTTTGATTTGCATTTCTCTGATGATCAGTGATGTTGAGCACCTTCTCATATGCCTGTTTGCCATTTGTATGTCTTGTTTTGAGAAATGTCTATTCAAATCTTTTGCTCATTTTTTGATTGGATTATTAGATTTTCTTCCTACAGAGTTATTTGAGCTTTTTTTTTTTTTTTTTTTTTTTTTTTGAGACAGAGTTTCTCTCTTGTTGTCCAGGCTGGAGTGCAATGACGTGCTCTCGGCTCACCACAACCTCTGCCAACTGGGTTCAAGAGATTCTCCTGCCTCAGCCTCCTGACTAGCTGGGATTACAGGCATGCACCACCATGCCTAGCTAAATTTGTGTTTTTAGTAGAGATGGGGTTTCTCCATGTTGGTCAGGCTGGTCTCGAACTCCCGACCTCAGGTGATCTGCCCACCTCACCCTCCCAAATTGCTGGGATTATAGGTGTGAGCCAGCACGCCCAGCCCTGTTTGAGCTCTTTATATGTTGTGATTATTAATCTCTTGCAGATGGGTAGTTTGCAAATATTTTCTCCCATTCTGTAAGTTATTGCTTCACTTTTTTTATTGTATCTTTTGTTGTGCAGAAACTTCTTAACTTGATGTTATCCCACTTGTCCATTTTTTTCTTTGGTTGCCTGCTCTTATTGTCTATTGCTCAAGAATTCTTTGCCCAGACCAATATCCTGGAGATTTTTTCAGTGTTTTCTTGTAATAGCCTTTGACTTTGGGGTCTTAGAGTTAAGTCTTTAATCCATTTTCATTTGATTTTGGTATATGGCAAGAGATAGAGGTTTAGTTTCATTCTTCTGAATATAGGGATCCAGTTTTCCCAGCACCATTTATTGAAGAAACTGGCCTTTCCCCATGATATGTTCTTGGCACCTTTGTCAAAAATGAATTCACTGTTGGGGTGTGGATTTCTTTCTGCGTTCTCTATTCTGTTCCATTGATCTATGTGTCTGTTTTCATGCAAGTTCCAGCTGTTTTGGTTACTATAGCTTTGTAGTATTATTTGAGGACATGTTATGTGATTCCTCAAGTTTTGTTCTTTCGCTTAGAATAGCTTTGGCTATTCTGGGTCTTTTGTGGTTTCATATTAATTTTAGGATTTTTTTTTTCTAAATCTGTGAAGAATGTCATTGGTATTTTGATAGGATTGCATTAAATGTGTAGATAGCTTAGGGTAGTATGGACATTTTAACAACATTCATTCTTCCAATCCATGAAAATGGAATTTTTTTCCATTTATTGGTGCATTCTTCAATTTATTTCATCGATGTTTCATAGTTTTATCATAGAGGCCTCTCACTTCTTTGGTTAATTACTAGGCAATTAATTTTATGTGTGGCTATTGTAAATAGGACTAATTTTATTTTCTTTTTACATTGGTCACTGTTGGTATATAGAATTGCTACTAATTTTTGTATGTTGATTTTGTATCCTGCAACTTTACTGAATATTTTTATCACTTCTAATAGTTTTCTTGTGGAGTTGTTAGGTTTTTTCAAATATAAGATTATATCATATTCATACAAGAATAATTTGACTTTTTCCTTCCTAATTTGGATTCTTTTATATTTTTCTTATGGCTCATTGCTCCAGCTGGAACTTCCAGTGCTATGTTGAATAACAGTAGTGGCAGTGGGCATTCCTGTCATGTTCCAGATGTTAGAGGAAAGGCTTTCAGTTTTTCACCATTCGCTGTGATACTATGTATTAGTCTTTCATATATGGCTTTGATTATGTTGAGGAATGTCCCGTCTATTCCCAGGTTTTTTAGGGTTTTTATCATGAAAGGATGTTGAATTCTATCAAATGGTTTTTCAGGATCAATTGAAATGATCATACAGTTTTTATCCTTCATTCTCTTGATATATCACATTGATTTGTTTATATTGAACCATCTTTGCATCCCAAAGATAAATCTCACTTGGTAATGATGAATGATCTTTCGAATGTATTGTTGATTTTAGCTTGCTAGTATTTTGTTGAGGATTTTTGCATCAATACTCATCAGAGATATTGGCCTGTAGTTTTATCTTTTTATTGTGTCAGTCTGGTTTTGGTATCAGGGTAATACTGGACCCATAGAATGAATTTGCCATTACTCCCTCCCCCTCTATTTATTGAAATAGTTTGAATAGGATTGGCATTAATCACTTAAATGTTTGGTTGCATTCAGCAGTTTAGTCATGGGGTCCCAGGCTTTTTTTTTTTCTTTTTTTTTGATGGGAGAGTTTTTATTATGGCTTCAATCTCATTACTTGCTATTGATCTGTTCAGATTTTGGATTTCTTCTTGGTTCAATCTTGCTAGGTTGTATGTATACATGAATTTGTCCATTTCTTCTACATTTTCCAAATTATTAGCTTAGAGTTGCTCATAGTAGTCACTAACGATCCTTTGAATTTCTGCAGTATCAATTATAATGCCTCCCTTTTCATTTCTGATTTTATTTATTTGGATCTTCTCTCTTTTTTTCTTAGTCTGAATAAAGGTTCTCAATTTTGTCTAACTTTTAAAAAACCAGCATTTTTTAACCTATCTTTGTATTGTATTTTTATCTTAATTTCATTTATTTGTGCTCTGGTATTTATTATCTCTTTTCTTCTACTAACTTTGGTTTGATTTGCTCTTACTTTTCTAGTTCTTTAAGATGGATTATTACATTATTCATCTGAAGATTTTCCTCTTTTTGGATGTAGGCATTTATAGCCATAAACTTTCCCCTTGATACTGCTTTTGCTGTATTCCATAGGTTTTGGTATGTTGTGTTTCCATTATGATTTGTTTCAAGAAATTTTTGAATTCATTCTTAATTTCGTCATTGACCTACTGGTCATTCAGCAGCATATTATTTAATTTCCATTTATTTATATAGGTTTCAAAGTTCTTGTTATTTATTTCTAGTTGTATTTCACTGTGGTCAGAGAAAATGCCAGATATTATTTTAATTTTTTTCAATGTCTTAAGACATATTTTGTGACCTAACATATTATCTATCCTTGAGAATGATCCATGTGCTAAGGAAAAGAATGTATATTATATAGTCGTTAGATGAAATGTTCTGTAAATATCTATTAGGTCCATTTGGTCTATAATAGTCCAGACTAAATATGATGTTTCATTGTTGATTTTCCGTATGGAAGATCTGTCCAATGCTGAAGGTCTGGTGGTGAAGTCTCTAGTTATTATTGTATTGGGAACTATCCCTCTCTTTAGCGCTAATAATATTTGCTTTATATATCCAGGTGCTCCAGTGTACATATATATTTAAAATTCTTATATTCTTTTGTGAAATTGACCCCATTATCATTATATAGTGAACTTCGTTGTCTCTTCTCATAGTTTTTGTCTTGAAATCTAATTTGTCTGATACAAATATAGTGACCCTTGCTCATTTTGGGTTTCCATTGTCCTGAAATATTTTTCCATCCTTTAATTTTCAGTCTACGTGTGCCTTTTTTTTTTTTTTTTTTTTTTTTTTGAGATGGAGTCTCGCTCTGTTGCCCAGGCTGGAATACAGTGGCCCAAGCTTGGCTCACTGCAAGCTCCACCTCCCAGGTTCACGCCATTCTCATGCCTCAGCCTCCCAAGTAGCTGGGACTACAGGCACCCGCCACCGCGCCCGGCTAATTTTTTGTATTTTTAGTAGAGACGGGTTTCACCATGTTAGCCAGGATGGTCTCGATCTCCTCACCTCGTGATCCTCCCGTCTCAGCCTCCTAAAGTGCTGGGATTACAGGTGTGAGCCACTGCGCCTGGCCTATGTGTGCCTTTTTAGGTGAAGTGTTTCTTGTAAGCAACAGATCAGTGGGTCTTGCTTCTTTATCCATGCAGCTGGTTTATGTCTTCCGATTGGAGAATTCAGTCTATTTACATTTAATGTTACTATTGATAAGTAAGGACCTACTCTTGCCATTTTCTTATTTATTTTCTGGTTGTTTATGATCTTCTCTTTCTTTTTTCTTTCCTTCCTGTCTTCCTCTAGTGAAGGTTATTTTCTCTGGTGATACGATTAAGTTTCTTTCTTTTTATTTTTTATGTATCCATTATATGCTTTTTGGTTTGGAGGTTACTGTGAGGCTTGCAAATACTAACTTATATCCTCTTATTTTAATATGATAACAACTTAATACTCTTTGTATAACAAACAAAAAGAAAGAAAACAAATAAAAACTCTATGCCTCAACTTAGCTCCCCCACTTTTAACCTTTTTGTTGTTTCTATTTATATCTTATTGTACTGACTCTGTCTTGAAAAGTTGTTGTAGTTATTATTTTTGATGGGTTCATTTTTTGCTTTTCTGCTTAAGATAAAAGTAGTTTACATGCCACAGTTAGTTTTATAATATTCTGTATTTTTCTGTGTACTTACTATTATCATTAGGTTTTGTATTTTCAGGTGATTATTTATTGCTTATTAATGTCCTTTTCTTTCTAATTGAAGTACTCCCTATAGCATTTCCTGTAGGCCTGGTCTGATATTGCTGAAATGACACTGCTTTTGTTTGTCTGAGAAAGTCTTCATTTCTCTTGCATGTTTGATGAATATTTTAGCTGGATATACTATTCTAGGGTAAAAGTTTTTTTTCCTTCAGCACTTTAAATATGTCATGCCACTCTCCCCTTGCCTGTAAGGTTTCCACTGAAAAGTCAACTGCCAGATATATTGGAGCTCCAGTGTATGACATGTGTTGTTTTCTCTTGCTGCTTTTAGAATCCGTTCTTAACTGTTAACCTTTGAGAGTATGATTATTAAATGGCTTGAGGTAACCTTCTCCAGGTTGAATCTGCTTTATGTTCGATTTCTTTCTTATACTTGGATATTGATGTCTTTCTCTAGGTTTGAGAAGTTTTCTGTTATTATCCCTTTGAATTATCTTTCTACTCCTATCTCTTTCTCTACTTCCTTCAAGGCTAATAACTCTTAAATTTGTACTTTTGAGGCTATCTTCTTGATCCTATAGGTGTGCTTCATTTTTTTTATTCTTTTTTCTTTTGACTCTTCTGTGTATTTTCAAATAGCCTGTCTTCAAGCTCAGTAATTCTTTCTTCTGCTTGATCAATTCTGCTAATTAAAGGATGATGATGCATTATTCAGTAAGCCAATTGCATTGTTCAGCTTCAGAATTTCTGCATTATTATTCATAATTATTTTAATCTCTTTGTTCAGTTTATCAGATAGAATTCTAAATTCCTTCTCCGTGTTATCTTGACCTTTTTTTGAGTTTCCTCAACACAGCTATTTTGAATTATCTGTCTGCAAGGTCACATACCCCTGTTCCTCCAGGACTGGTCCCTAGTTCTTAGTGAGTTCATTTGGTGAGGTCATGTTTTTCTGGATGGTGGTGATGCTAGTAGATATTCTTCAGTGTCTGGGCATTGAAGAGCTAGATAGGTATTGTAGTCTTCACTGTCTTATCTGTAGCCACCCTTCTTTGGAAGGCTTTCCAGATGTTTGAAAGGATGTGAGTGTTGTGATCTAAGCTGTATCTTCTTTAGGGGGCACTCCAATCCCATTAATGCTGTGGTTCTTGCAGACGCATAGTGGTGCTGCCTTTATGGTATTAAACAAGATCCAAGAGATTTCTCTGGATTATCAGGCAGAGACTCTTGTTCTCTTCTCTTACATTGCCCCAAACAAACAGAGTCCCTCTCTATCTTTTCTAACCCATGTAAAGCTGGAGCTGGAGTGACAATAAGCACCCCTGTGGTCACCACCACTATGACCCTGCTGGGTCACACCTGAAGCCAGCACAGTGCTGGGTCTCATTTAAGACCCACTATAACTACTCCCTGGCTACTTCCCATGTTTGCTCAAGGCTCTGGTGCTCTACAATCAGCATGTGTCAAAGCCAGCCAAGCCTATGTTCTTCCCTTCATGGCAGTGAGGTCCCCCAGACCCTATGTGCGTCCAGAAGAACTGTTTGGTAGTCAGGGACTAGCATCAAAAACCTTAGAAATCTACCTAATGTTTTACTGTATTGCACCTGAGCTGATATTCAAACCACAAGACACAGTTCTTCCCACTCTTTCCCCCTCTTTCCAAAGGCAGAGGAGCCTCTCGCCATAGCCACCACCACCTCAGGCCATGACGTATACTGCCAGACTACCACCAATACTCCCTTATGACCCAAGGTCTCTTAAGTCAACTTATTGTGAATGCTGCCTGCCCTGGGACTCACCCTTCAGGGCAATGGCCTCTCCTCTGACTCAGGTCAGGTCCAGAAATGCCACCTAAGGGTCAAGTCCTATAATCACAGACCCCAAGAGCTCACTTGGTGGTCTACTGACCTCCACCCCTGTGGCCTGATATTGCTGAAATCCCACAGCTTTTGGTTGTGCTGGTACCTCAGATGCAAGACAAAGTCCCATTTACTTTTCTGTCTGCTTTTCTCAAGCAGGAGTTTTGCCCCAGAGCCACCATATCTGTTAATGCACTGAGCCTCACCTGGAGCCAGCCCATCTCAGAGACTGACCAAGACCCTCAATGTAGTACCTGGGTATTGCTGCTGGTTATGCAGGGCCGAAGAGCTCTTCAGTTAGCAGACGATAAAAGCTGGCAGGAATGGGTCCTTTCCTTCAAGGCAGCAGGTTCCCTTCTGGCCCAGGGTGTGTCTAGAAATGTCATCTGGAAGCTAAAGCCTGGAATGGGGGGCCTCATGACTCTGACCAGTGCCTTATCCTGCTGTGGTTCAGGTGGTATCCTAGATGAAAGACAAAGTCCTTCCCACCCTTCCTTCTCCTCTCTTCAAGTGGAAGAAAGGGGTGTCTTTCAGTGCTGAAAGCTGTGCAGCCTGGGGTTAGGGTAGGGATGATTCTAACACTCCCTTGACTTCTCCAGCTGGTGCCTCAGTATGCCAGGTTTCTTCAGTTTTCTGTCTCTGGGCCTAGTTCAGCACTAGGACTCACATACACGTTGCAATTCTTATGGCCTAGACAGCCTTTCAAGTTTACTTTGAGACAGAGTGTGGTAGCCTTTGATGGTGAGGTTTGCAGACACTCAGGTATGGACCTCTGGTTTCAAGGGATCCTTCTCTGGCTAGGGCTGATTTAAATGCTCCTCCTGTGGGCGGGGGTCAGCTGAATTTGCTCTGGTTTTGCTTTCTGCTTTAACAGGACAGCACTTATTTCAGCGCCTCACGATTGCTGTGTTTTCTCTCCTTCGGTGTCCAGAGAAGCTCTCTGCACCATGCCAAGGTGGGGGAGTGGTAGCATCGGTAATTCTACAGGGTTTATTTCTTCAGTGCAACTTTAGGACATATGAAGTTAAAACTAGGTACTATGAGTGCTCGCCTGATTTTTGTTTCTTATGAAAGTTTTTTTTTTTCCTGTATAGATAGTTGTTAACTTGGTGTCCTTGCTGGGGGGCAACTATAGGTAGAGCTTTCTATTCTGTCATCTTGCTCTGTCTCCCTTGTATATTTCCTGCTCTTTCCAAATTAATATGTTAATTTTTCTTATTTTATCTTTCTTAATGAAATAAGTTTTCATTATTACTTATGAGTGACACAAACTATTGTACTGATCAAAAGTAAAGATACACTTACTGGTGAAGGGATGCCAATATGTTTTCTTTAGATATCAGGTGAACTTGAGCAAAATGCTTGTTACTCCACTTTATAGATAACCTTTGATGCTTAGGCACTGATAAAGAAATCGGAACAAACAAACTCAAAATAAAATGAGCAAACTCATCCCACAAATACTTTATTTTATAGAAATAGCACTTTTAGCCAAATGTGAATACAATTGCAATAGCTGTGTTTTTAAGAAAATCAGCAAAATTTTATGTGCTCCATTTTAGTAACTATATTTGAAATATCTAAATTTATTCCCATTATTAAGATTGGACATTGTTATGATTGCGTTTCCTTTCAAAAGATGTATTCTAGCTCAATTTCCCTAGCTTCCAGGTAAGAATAATAGAAATATTAAAATAGAGCTGTGGTTTGCTATAATTTTACAGGGTATTTTGTGGTCAAGTTCTAAAATTATCAAGAGCATATTTTTATGTTTTTGAACTTTAAGTTTTTAACAAGATAGTCTATCCTAAATCTTAAATATATTAATCAGCAACAAAATGGCATAGAATGAGAACAGTGTTAAGGAAACCTTGAAAATAATAAAAAGTATGTGGCTTCTTACATATGACATACTAAGGCAATGCCATTATCATGCTGTATTACAAATAAAATGTAAATTACAATGCAATGAAAATAATTTCACAATCATTTTATTGTTTTAAGCATACCAATATCTTGAAATTTTTCAGGAAAGAATTGCTTTCAGAAAGATTTGCCTTCTCAAGATTGAAGCACATTTTATATTGAATTAACTGATATGCTATGAAACCCAGGCCCCTTGATAAAAAACAGTGACTGTTGCTTTTTTTTTTTTTTTTTTTTTTTTTTGAGACAGAGTCATCTCTCTCTCCCAGGCTGCAGTGCAGTGGTGCGATCTTGGCTCACTACAACCTCCGCCTCCTGGGTTCAAGTGATTCTCCTCCCTCAGCCTCCCAAGTAGCTGGGATTATAGGTATGCACCACCATGCCCGGCTAATTTTTTTGTATTTTTAGTACAGATGGGGTTTCACCATGCTGGTCAGGCTGGGCTGGAACTCCTGACCTCAAATGATCTGCCTGCCTCGGCCTCCCAAAGGGCTGGGATTACAGGTGTGTGCCACCTTGCCTGGCCTGTTGCATTTTCACTAACTTATGACTTCTCTAGTATTTATATAAAAAACAGAGACAATATCTCTACAAATCAACTTTATATAATTATTTTAACAAATCCTTTGATTATATATAACCAAACTGTTCTGTGCACATGGAAAAATGAATATGATAGGAATATGATTCTCAGGTGATTAAAAAATAATATTCTCTTTCATCAAAATAAGCAAATACCTACTTGTAAGGAACAATGCAAAGAAAAAGAAATATTTTTGCAAATGATCAACTGTCATTTAAAATAGATAGCATCTAAGTTGCCTTATACCCCAAATGTAAATGGACCTTCATATTTTGAACAGTGAAGCCAATTACAGAAATTTGTCATCATTCTTGTCATCTGGGATGATCATTAAAATATCTTTAGTGATTACATCTCTCATTTTTCTTCTTACTTATCATGTGTTTACAGACATAGCCAATAATATGACTTTTCTACCTAGAATTATTATAAATTCATCACAATGACCGGTACGTAGGTACTGTTTTACCCCCTCAGAGAGTTCTTTCATTACCTCATTAATTCATAATCCACACAGTTTTCCATGTGTGCAGAACAGTTTGATCTTATATATTCAAAATATTTGATTAAATAATTCTATAAGATGGATATGCATAGATATTGTCTCTATTTTTTAGATGAATACTAGATAAATCATAAGCTAGTGAAAAAGCCATAATCACTATTTTTTTTTCTGACTTTTAGGTTCAGGAGATACATGTGCAGGTCTCTTATATGGGTAAATTGTTTGTCACTTGGGTTTGGTGTACAAATGATCCCGTCACCCAAGTAGTGAGCACAGTACCTGATAGTATTTCAGTGCTCACTCTCCTCCTACCCTCCCCACTGTAGTAATACCCAGAATCTATTATTCTCATCTTTGTGTCCACATGTACTCAATGTTTAGCTCCTACTTATAAGTGAGAACATGAGATATTTGGATTCCTGTTCCTGTGCTAATTCACTTAGGATAATGGCCTACAGCCACATCCATGTTACTGCAAGCGGAATGATTTTATTCTTTTTATGGCTATGTAGTATTCCATGGTGTATATACACCACATTTTCTTTATTCAGTCCACAGCCAATGGGTATCTAGGTTGATTCCATGTTTTTGCTATTGTGAATAGTGCTGTAATGAACATACACATGAATGCATCTTTATGGCAGAACAATTTATATTTCTTTGGGTATATAACCAGGAATAGGATTGCTGGATTGAACAGTATTTCTGTTTTAAGCTCTTTGAGTAATTTCCATTGCTTTCCCCAGTGGCTAAACTAATTGACATTTCCACCAACAGCCTATAAGCATTCCCTGTTTTCTGCAACCTCACCAACATGATATTTTTTGACTTTTTAGTAATAGCCATTCCAAAAAGTCACTATTTTTATCCAAGTGCCCCAGTTTCATAGCATATCACTTAATTCAATGTAAAATGTGTTTCAATTTTGACGAGGCAAATATTCCTGAAAGAAAATGTGTTCTAAATTTGTTGCTTGACCAACTGTCTTATTTCAAGTGGTGAATATAATACAAGAAGTATAGAAAAGAATGTTTATGGCCTTGAACGATTTTACAAATTTGAAGGAAGAGCAAACACCAAAAACATATCTTCTTAGTGGATGTCATTTCCCATTTTCCCACCCTGATGCCTTGCTCTATAAGTCAAATTAGGTAGATATACAGATTGATAGAAGATAGAATTGTTGATAAAAACAGCAAGAACATTGATACTTAGATTTTAGAATCAGCATTACAAGAGATCCTGAAAATCATTTAGTGGAAACCAGAGTCTTATAGAGGAAGCCACTAAAATCTGGAGAATAGTGACTTGCCAAAAATCCAAAATTTTGTTTCAGTGTTAGAGCCAGTCTCAGAATCTAGGCCTTCTTTCCCCATGTAGTAGTTTTTTATATATTTTTAATTTATTCTAATGAATCTTCTAATATCTAAGAGGCAATTCTTGTTTTATGTGATAGTTTTTTCAAAAGTCAATCTTGACATATGGGGCCATTACAGCAAACTAATAGGCAAATCTAGCATATATCCTTTGTACTTTAAAAACATTAGACACAACTTGATTCTTCAGGTTATATGAAAATAATGAAGTGGTGGTGAATACATAGAACAGATGTGTGTTCATAAAGACCATGTGGTTTTTTTTTTGTTTAATGTAGTAATGTTTTGATGTGCTGCTGAGGGGCTTATCTTAGGGAGATAGCAAAATGGCAGCTGGTTTTACCCTAGAAGACCTCTTACTAGATAAATTCCAGCTGTGAATATATGATGTTTCCTTAAATGGGCAAAGAGAAGTTATCCCATATGTAAAATTATTCTCAACATCTGTGCTGCTTTAGGAACCATATTCTCTTTGTAATTGGCTTCTGTAAGAGGATTTTTTTCCCTTAAAAATGTAGAGAACTGAATTTGTACAAAATGTTTATAAATAATTCGAAAGAGGACTTTAAAAGTACTTTTTGCAAGTTTGTTCTTCTTGCAAGTATAAATGTATACAAGTATAAATATATTTGAACAGATCTAAGTACAATCAGTGTTAAACAAGTAGTTAAAGTAGTATGTGCCTCACATTATAAAATCTCTGCCTAAAATGACTTGTGGGTGTGCAAAGGTAGACCTGGTACATGTCCATAATTCTATTGGACAAAAGTCTTTTGGATTTTGTAAAAATACTATGGAAGCATGCTCCAGAGATTTTGTGGGTTTGATTTCAGACCACTGCAATAAAACGAATATTCAAAAAAGTGAGTCATGGAAATTTTTTAGTATAAACATAAAAAAGTTATGTTTATGCTATACTGTAGCTTATTAAGTGTGCAATAGCATTAATGTCTAATAAAATAATGTGCGTCAGCCAATATCATACTGAATGGGCAAAAACTGGAAGCATTCCCTTTGAAAACTGGCACAAGACAGGGATGCCCTCTCTCACCACTCCTATTCAACATAGTGTTGGAAGTTCTGGCCAAGGCAATCAGGCAGGAGAAGGAAATAAAGGGTATTCAATTAGGAAAAGAGGAAGCCAAATTGTCCCTGTTTGCAGATGACATGACTGTGTATCTAGAATACCCCATCGTCTCAGCCCAAAATCTCCTTAAGCTGATAGGCAACTTCAGCAAAGTCTCGGGATACAAAATCAATGTGCAAAAATCACAAGCATTCTTATACACCAATAACAGACAAACAGAGAGCCAAATCATGAGTGAACTCCCATTCACAATTGCTTCAAAGAGAATAAAATACCTAGGAATCCAACTTACAAGGGATGTGAAGGACCTCTTCAAGGAGAACTACAAACCACTGCTCAATGAAGTAAAAGAGGATACAAACAAATGGAAGAACTTTCCATGCTCATGGGTAGGAAGAATCAATATCGTGAAAATGGCCATACTGCCCAAGGTAATTTACAGATTCAATGCCATCTCCATCAAGCTACCAATGACTTTCTTCACAGAATTGGAAAAAACTACTTTAAAGTTCATTTGGAACCAAAAAAGAGCCTGCATTGCCAAGTCAATCCTCAGCCAAAAGAACAAAGCTGGAGGCATCACACTACCTGACTTCAAACTATACTACAAGGCTACAGTAACCAAAACAGCATGGTATTGGTACCAAAACAGAGATATAGACCCATGGAACAGAACAGAGCCCTCAGAAATAATGCCACACATCTACAACCATCTGATCTTTGACAAACCTGACAAAAACAAGCAATGGGGAAAGGATTCCCTGTTTAATAAATGGTGCTGGGAAAACTGGCTAGCCATATGTAGAAAGCTGAAACTGGATCCCTTCCTTACACCTTATACAAAAATTAATTCAAGATGGATTAAAGACTTAAATGTTAGACCTAAAACCATGAAAACCCTAGAAGAAAACCTAGGCAATACCATTCAGGACATAGGCATGGGCAAGGACTTCATGTCTAAAACACCAAAAGCAATGGCAACAAAAGCCAAAATTGACATATGGGATCTAATTAAACTAAAGAACTTCTGCACAGCAAAAGAAACTACTATCAGAGTGAACAGGCAGCCTACAGAATGGGAGAAAATTTTTGCAATCTACTCATCTGACAAAGGGCTAATCTCCAGAATCTACAAATAACTCAAACAAATTTACAAGAAAAAAAACAAACAACCCCATCAACAAGTGGGTGAAGGATATGAACAGACACTTCTCAAAAGAAGACATTTATGCAGCCAACAGACACATGAAGAAATGCTCATCATCACTGGCCATCAGAGAAATGCAAATCAAAACCACAATGAGATACCATCTCACACCAGTTAGAATGGCAATCATTAAAAAGTCAGGAAACAATAGGTGCTGGAGAGGATGTGGAGAAATAGGAACACTTTTACACTGTTGGTGGGACTGTAAACTAGTTCAACCATTGTGGAAGTCAGTGTGGCGATTCCTCAGGGATCTAGAACTAGAAATATCATTTGACCCAGCCATCCCATTACTGGGTATATACCCAAAGGGCTACAAATCATGCTGCTATAAAGACACATGCACACGTATGTTTATTGCGGCACTATTCACAATAGCAAAGACTTGGAACAAAGCCAAATGTTCAACAATGATAGACTGGATTCAGAAAATGTGGCACATATACACCATGGAATACTATGCAGTCATAAAAAATGATGAGCTTATATCCTTTGTAGGGACATGGTTGAAGCTGGAAACCATCATTCTCAGAAAACTATCGCAAGGAGAAAAATCCAAACACTGCATGTTCTCACTCATAGGTGGGAATTGAACAATGAGAACACATGGGCACAGGAAGTGGAACATCACACACCAGGGCCTGTTGGGGGTCGGGGGAGTGGGGATGGATAGCATTAGGAGATATACCTAATGTTAAATGACGAGTTAATGGGTGCAGCACACCAACATGGCACATGTATACATATGGAACAAACCTGCATGTTGTGCACATGTACCCTAAAACTTAAAGTATAATAAAAATAAATAAATAAAACATTTCATGCTGCAAAAAAAGATAAAATAAAACAAAATAAAATAAAATAATGTGCGTATCTTAATTTCAAAATATTTTATTGCTAAAAATGCTAACACTCATCTGAGGCTTCATTGCTTTGAAATCTTTTTTTTTAAAGAAAGAAAATGGTGGACTTTAATCTTTATTTACAGGACACTGTGAGATATGAAATTCCATTGAAATCTTTTTGCTGGTGAAGGGTCTTGCCTTGATGTTGGCAATGAGGTATGGCTAATGGGGTGGTGGATGCTGAAGTTTGGAGTAGTTGTGACAATTTCTTAAAAGAAGATCATAGTAAAGTTTGCTACATTGATTGGCTCTTCCTTTCCTGACAAAAATACTCTGTAGCATGCAATGCTGTTTGATAGCGTGTTACCCACAGCAAAACTTCTTTCAAGATTTCAGTCAATCCTTTTATACCCTGCCACTGCCTTATCAAGTAAGTTCATGTAATATTCTAAATCTTTTGTTGTCATTTCAACAATGTTCACCGCATCTTCACCAGAAGTAGATTTTATCTCAAGAAACCACTTTTTTATCATTCGTAAGAAGCAACTTTGTATCCATTCAAGTTTTATCATGATATTGCAACAATTCAGTCACATCCTCAAGCTCCACTTGTAAGTCTAGTTCTTTTGCTACTTCCACAACATCTACAGTGGCTTCCTTCAATGAAGTCTTGAACCCCTCAAAGTCATCCATGAGTGGGGGAATCACCTTCTTCCAAGCTCTTGTCAATATTGATATTTTGACCTCCTCCCATGAATCATGAATGTTCTTCATGGGATTTAGAATGATGAATCTTTTTCAGAACCATTTCCATTTGCATTTCTCAGATTCATCAGACAAATCACTAACTATGGCAGCTATAACCTTATGAAATGTAGTTCTTAAATGATAATACTTGAGAGTTGAAATTACTCCTGATTCATGGACTGCAGGATGAATGTTTTGTTAGCAGTCATGAAAACAACATTAATTTCCTTTTATATCTTTTTCAGAAGTGTTGGGCGACCAGTTGCATTGTCAATAAGCAAATATTTTGAAATTAATCTTTTTTTAGCATTAGGGATCAACGGTCAGCTTAAAATATTTAATACACCATGCTGTAAACAGATGTGCTGTCATCCAGGCTTTGTTGTTGTATGTGTAGAGCACAGGCAGAGTAGATTTAGCATCATCCTTAAGGGCCCTAGCATTTTCAGAATAGTAAATGATCATTGGCTTCAATTTAAAGTCACCAGCTGCATTAGGCCCTAACAAGAGAGTCAATATGTACTTTGAAGCTTTAAAGCCAGGTATTGACTTCTCTGTAGCCATGAAATTCCTATATAGCATCTTCTTCCTATATAAGGCTGCTTCATCTACACTGAAAATCTGTTGTTCAGTGTAGCCACCTTCATTAATTATCTTAGCTAGATCTTCCGGATAACTTGCTGCAGCTTCTTTATAAGCACTTGCTGCACTTTTATATTATGGAGATGGCTTCTTTCCTTAAACCTCATGACCAACCTCTGCTAACTTCATTTTTTTTTTTCCTGTAGCTTTCTCGCCTCTTTCAGCCTTCGTAGAATTGAAGAGTGTTAGGAACTTTTTCTGGATTAAGCTTTGGCTGAAGGGAACGTTGTGGATGGTTTGATCTTCTATCTAGACCTCTGAAACTTTCTCCATATTGGCCATAAGGCAGTTTCACTTTCTATCATTTTTGTGTTCACTGGAGTAGCACTTTCAATTTTCTTCAAGAACTTTTCCTTTGCATTAACAATGTGGCTAACTTTTTGGCACAAGAAGCCTAGTTTTCTGCCTATCTTGGCTTTTGGTATGCTTTCCTCAATAAACTTAATCATTTTTAGCTTCTAATTTAAATGAGAGACATGTGACTTTTCCTTTCATTTGAACACTTAGAGGCCATTTTAGCGTCATTAACTGGCCTACTTTAAGGAGTGTTGTATCTCAGAAAATAGGTAGGCTGAAGGAGAAGGAGAGATACATGGAAAGGGCCAGTTCACGTCGCAGTCAGAACAGACAGGACATTCATCAATTAAGTTTTTCATTTTATATGAGCAAGGTTTGTGGATTCCCAAATAATTATAATAGTAACATCTATAGCCAAAAATAATTAAATTGTACATTTTAAAATAACAAAAAGTGTAACTAGATTGTTTGTAACACAAAATATAAATGCCTGAAGTGACGGATACTCCATTTAACCTGATGTGACTATTACACATTGCATGCCTGTATCAAAATATCTAATGTAACCCATAAATACATACACCTACTATGTACCCACAAAAATTAAAAATTATGAAAAAGAACACTGATCACAGATTACCATAAGAGATATAATAGTAGGTGGGGCACGGTGGCTCACCCCTGTAATCCCAACACTTTGGGAGGCTGAGATGGGCAGATCGCTTGAGGTCAGGAGTTCAAGTCCAGACTGGGCAACATGGCAAAACCTTGTCTCTATAAAAAAAAAAAACAAAAAACAGCTGACTGCCGTAGCGCATGTTTGTAATCCCAGCTACTTGGGAGGCTGAGACATGAGAATGGCTTGAACCTGGGAGGTTGAGGTTGCAGTGAGCTGAGAAGCCAAGATGGTGCCACGGCACTCCAGCCTGGATGACAGAGTGAGACTCTGTCTCAAATATATATATAGAGAGAGATAATAATAACAAAAAAGTTTTGAACATTGCAAGAATTACCAAAAAGTGACATAGAGACACAAAGTGAGCATTGGCTGTTGGAAAAATGAAAAATGGCACCAGTAGATTTGCTTAATGTAGGGTTGCTATAAACCTTCAGATTTAAAAAAAAAAAAGCAATATCTATGAAGCACAACGAAATGAAGCACAATAAAATGAGCTATGTCTGTATTGAGTCTTGTTAATGTTGTTCATGGTGATTAACACAAAATAGTAAATATTCAGACTTTACTAGTTTGTGAAATATCTGCATACCAACAACCATAACAAGCAGCCAAATGGTTAGGCTGAGAGAACTAGATGCTTTAGTAGCTACTGTATTTGGCATTTATTTGTCTCATTCTTACTATCTGCTGTCATAGCTGATGAGAGGTTCCTCATAAAGATGACTGGAAAAAGATTATCTGAAACCATTATGTATTGGCTGAGTCTCAATCACAAATGATACCAGAGTTTGTTTTTCAAGCACATTAGACAAATAGATGTCAATAAAATTGTGTAGATATATTTTGTTTTAAAAAATAATGATAATTTAAGAAAATAGTTATAAGAACAAAAAATCAATATTAACATCTGCAAAATCTTAAATAGATATAATTAATGTATGTTGCTAAGTAGAGCATTTTTTAATGATAATGTTAACAGTTTTTTAAAAATTGACCAGGATGTGTAGAGTCAAAAATGCCACTGCCTTGTTACCAGTTATCTTTGAATGCAATTTCTAATTAAATATTCCAAAAGTGGTCTGAACAATGGTAGCCCACTTGTGAGTAATGAATACAGCCTCTCAGGACAGCTATCTGGAAATTAATGGCATTTGTCTAAATATGTATGTTCTGATAAGTTTGTTAAACACCAGTTGTATTAATATACAGCCATGCTTCATATAGTGTCTAATTATGATGTGATACTAATTATTATCTTTCTCATTGATCCCATGTGATCTAATAATTATTTGTAGAGCCATGTAGGTGTTTGCATGTGTACACACACACATACACACACATTGCCCATTGAAAATGAAAAAGAACAGTCTCATTGCCTGTGTTCTAGGCACACTACACCTTCGTTTATAATCTTACATGTATCAGAAAAAACTTTATGCTATAAATCCGGAGTCAGTAAACTATGAATCCTGGGCACATACAACACATACAATCTTTCCAGGAGCTACAGATTTTTTTTTTTTAACATTTTTAAGTGTTGAAATAAATCAGATTTAGAGGGTAAGATGGCTCAATAGACACAACCAGGTGGAACAGCTAACACTGAGGGATCGAGACAACTGGCACACTTCTAACAGATCTTCAGTGGTAAGGCACTGAGAGTGGATGGAGGAAAGTCACAGAAGCTGGGCTGAAGAGGAAGGAAGCTGGAAACACTGCATAGGGCTACTTCACACCAGGACTCATTCTTGGCCCCCAGTGACCCCAGGAGAACAGGCGAGTTAAACTGTCAAGGAGTAACCTGCTTTTGTCAAGAGCCTCTGGAATCCCAGCAGGAGGAGACCCCCTTGACCCCACTAACAGTATTACACACATCATTGAGGCAGAACATTTGCAAAGATATTCAGGACCTGAACTTAACACTATATCAAGTGGACCTGATAGACATCTACAGAAAGTTCCATTCAAAAGCAATATTATATACATTCTTCTCATCACCACATGGCATATACTCTAAAATCAACCGCATAATCAGACACACTCTTCAGCAAGTGCAAAGGAACTGAAATTATAATAACCACTCTGTTGGACCACAGCACAATTAAATCAGGAATCAGGTCTAAGAAATTTTCTTAAAACCATACGATTACATGGAAACTGAATAACCTGCTCCTGAATAACTTTCAGGTAAATAATGAAATTGAGCCAGCAATCAAGTTATTTGAAACTAATGAGAATAAAGATACAACATTCAAGAATCACTGGGACACAGCGAAGGCAGTGTTTAGGGGGAAACTTATAGCACTAAACGCCCACAGCAACAATTTAAAAGGATCTCAGTGGGGCAGGGCCAAGATGGCCAACTAGAAGCAGCAGAGATCGGAGGTTGCCATGGAAAAGAACCATAACAGCATGCAAATCCAGAACCGGCAAGTGAGGTATCCAGGTTCTGTCATCAGGACTGACTCGGCAGCTGGCGTGGTCCATGGAGAGGAAGGAAGAACAGTGTGGTTTGACGGCCCACCCAAGAGCCACATGAGGCAGGGGAGCCCCCAGTCCCAAGCCAAGGGAGGCAGTGAGTGAATGTGCTACCCAGCCTGGGAAACCGTGCTTTTTCACTGAACTGTGCAACCCATGAACCAGAAGATTCCACTCATGAGCCCATGCCACCAGGGCCTAAGGCCCCAACCACGGAGCTGCATAGATTCTCAAAAGCCACTCAGCACAAAATGGCTTAAGCCTGCCAGTCTTCCCGTGGGAGCGCAGCCAGCATCACAGCTGCTGCTGTCTGCTGTCTAAGTCATTTGAGCTCCTTGTGGGAGGGGTGGCAACCAGCATTGGGACTAATAGCTGCCTAACACTAAGCTCCCAGGGCAAGGGAAGGGCAGCAGCCATCTCTATAGCTCCAGGTCATGCTTTTTCCCTGCTGGAGCCAGGGAGGCTGGATGGCTTGGTCCCAAGAGGTATCCCCCACAGCCCAACACACCAGTTGTGGCAGACTGCGGCCAGAGCACCTCCTCAGACCTGACCCTGACCCATTCTTCCTCATTGGGCAGGGCCTCCCTGCAGGAACTCCAACTCTAGCCCCAGGAACTCAGGAACAGAAGTCTGATCTCTCTGGGCCTGAGTTCCTAGCAGGAGGGGTGGCCTCAGTCTCTGTGGACCAGCAGACATAGTCTTTCCTCCTGCTAGTTCTGAGAAATCTGGGAAGCCCAGATGAGTAGGATTCCCCCCAATAAAACACACTCCCTCCACCAAGAAACAGTCAAAGTGCTTTGTTAAACGGGTCCTGCTCCCCATGCCACCCAACTGGGTGAGACCCTCCAGAAGGGGTTGTCAGACACCGTATTCAGGAGGGTACATATTGGCACCAGGTCAGTGCCCCTTAGGGTCAGAGATCCCAGAGGGAGGAGCATGCACCCATCTTTGCTGTTCTCCAGCCTCCTCGAGTGACATCTCCAGGCACAGGAATGAACCAGATGAATAGGGCCTGAAGTGAACCCCCAGAAAACCCCAACTTCCCTACAGAAGAGGGACCTAACCATTGAAAGAAAAACAAACAAACAGAAAGCAACAACAACAGCATCAACAAAACCCCATCCAAGGGTCAGCAGCCTCAAAGATCAAAACTGGACAAACTCATGAAGATGAGAAAGAATCAATGAAAAAATTCTGAAAACCCAAAAGGCCAGTGTACCTCTTCTCCAAATGATCCCAACGCCTTTCCAGCAAGGGCACAGAACTGGTTGGAGGATGAGATGGACAAACTGACAGAAGTATACTTCAGAAGGCACTGAGCTAAAGGAGCATTTTCTATCCCAGTGCAAAGAAGCTAAGAACCTTCATAAAAGGTTACAGGAGCTGCTAACTAGAATAACCAGTACAGAGAGAAACATAAATGACCTGATGGAGTTGAAAAACACAGCACAAGAACTTCGTGAAGCATACACAAGTATTGATAGCTGAATCAATGAAGCAGAAGAAAGGATATCAGAGGTTGAAGATGATCTTGCTGATATAAGATATGCAGAGAAGATTAGAAAATAAATAAAGAAATGGAACAAACAAAACCTCTGAGAAATACGGGGCAATGTAAAAACACCAAACCTACGATTGATTGGAGTACCTGAAAGAGACGGGGAGAATGAAACCAAGTTAGAAAACACACTTCGGGTTATTATCCAGGAGAACTTCCCCAACCTAGAAAGGCAGGGCAGCATTCAAATTCAGGAAATACAGAGAACACCACTAAGATACTCCATGAGAAGATCAACCCCAGAACACATAATCATTAGATTCTCCAAGGTAGAAATGAAGGAAAAAATGTTAAGGGCAGCCAGAGAGAAAGGCCAAGTCACCTACAAAGGGAAGCCCATCATACTAACAGCAGATCTCTCAGCAGAAACCCTACAGGCCAGAAGAGAGTGGGGGCCAATATTCAACATTCTTAAAGAAAAGCATTTTCAACCCAGAATTTCATATCCAGCCAATCTAAGCTTCATAGGCAAAGGAGAAATAAAATCTGTTCCAGACAAGCAAATACTGAAGGATTTCATCATCACTAGGCCTACCTTGCAAGAGCTCCTGTAGGAAGCACTAAATATGGAAAGGAAAAATCAGTACCAGCCACTGCAAAAACAAACCAAAATATAAAGACCAATGACACTATAAAGAAACTGCATCAATTAGTGTGCAAAATAACGAGCTAGCATCATGCTGACAATATCAAATTCACCCATAACAATATTAACCTTAAAGGTAAATGGGCTAAATGCCCCAATTAAAAGACACAGACTGGCAAATTGGATAAAGAGTCAAGACCCATCAGTGTGCTGTATTCAGGAGACCCATCCCACATGCAAAGACACACATAAGCTCAAAATAAAGGGAGGGAGGAAAATTTACCAAGCAAATGGAAAGCAACAACAACAACAAAAAGCAGGGGTTGCCATCCTAGTCTCTAACAAAACAGACTTTAAACCACAAAAGATCAAGAAAGACAAAGAAGGGCATTACATAATAGTAAAGGATTCAATGCAACAAGAAGAGCTAACTATCCTAAATATATATGCACCCAATACAGGAGCACCCAGATTCATAAAGCAAGTCCTTAGAGAACTACAAAGAGACTTGGACTGACACACAATAATAGTGGAAGACCTTAACACCCCACTGTCAATATTAGACAGATCAATGAGACAGAAAATTAACAAGGATATTCAGGACTTGAACTCAGCCCTGGATTGAGTGGACATCTACAGAACTCTCCACCAAAAATCAACAGAGTATACAATTCTTCTCAGTGCCACATGGCACTTATTCTAAAATCAACCACATGATTCGAAGTAAAACACTCATCAGCAAATGCAAAAGAATTGAAATCATAACAGTCTCTCAGACCACCGTGCAATCAAATTAAAACTCAGGATTAAGAAACTCACTCAAAACTGCACAACTACATGAAAACTGAACAAACTGCTCCTGAATGACTCCTGGGAAAATAATGAAATCAAGGCAGCAATCAAGAAGTTCTTTGAAACCAGTGAGAACAAAGAGACAACATACCAGAATCTCTTGGACACAGCTAAAGTAGTGTTAAGAGGGTAATTTATAGCACTAAATGCCCACATCAGAAAGTTAGAAAGATCTCAAATCAACACCCTAACATTACAATAAAAAGAGGCACAGAAGCAAGAATAAACAAATCCAAAAGCTAGCAGAAGACAAGAAATAATTAAGATCAGAGCAGAACTGAAGGAGATAGAGACACAACAATCCCTCCAAAACATCAATGAATCCAGGAGCTAGTTTTTCAAAAAAAAAATTAACAAAATAGACAGACCACTAGCTAGACTAATAAAGAAGAAAAGTATCAAATAGACACAATAAAAAATGATAAAGAGGATATCACCCCGACCACAAAGCAATACAAACTACCATCAGAGAATACTATAAATACTTCTATGCAAATAAACTAGCAAACCGAGAAGAAATGGATAAATTCCTGGACACATACACCCTCCCAAGAGTAAACCAGGAAGAAGTAGAATCCCTGAATAAACCAATAACAAGTTCTGAAATTGAGGCAGTAATTAAAAGCTTACCAACCAAAAAAAAAGCCCAGGACCAGATAAATTCAAAACTGAATTCTACCAGAGTTACAAAGAGGAGCTGGTACCATTCCTTCTGAAACCATTCCAAACAATTGTAAAGGAGGGACTCCTCCCTAACTCATTTTATGAGGCCAACATCATCCTGATACCAAAGCCTGGCAGAGGCACAACAAAAAAAGAAAACTTCAGGCCACTATCTCTGATGAACATCAATGCAAAGATCCTCAAAAAAATACTGGCAAACCAAACCTAGCAGGACATCAAAAAGTCTATCCACCACAATCAAGTCGGCTTCATCCCTGGGATGCAAGGCTGATTCAACATACACAAATCAACAAACATAATCCATCAAATAAATGAACCAATGACTAAAACCACATGATTATTTCAACAGATGCAGAAAAGGCCTTTGATAAAATTCAACATTCCTTCATGATAAAAACTCTCAATAAACTAGGTATTAATAGAACATATTTCAAAATAATAAGAGCTATTTATGACAAATACACAGCCAATATCATACTCAATGGGCAAAAGCTGGAAGCATTCCCTTTGAAAACCAGCATAAGACAAGGATGCCCTCTCTCACCACTCCTATTCAACATGGTGTTGGAAGTTCCAGCTGGAGAAATCAGGCAAGATAAATAAATAACGGTATTCAAATAGGAAGAGAGAAAGTCAACTTGTCTCTGTTTGCAGACAACATGATTCTATATTTAGAAAACACCATCGTCTCAGCCCCAAAACTACTTAAGCTGGTAAGCAATTTCAGCAAAGTCTCAGGATACAAAATCAATGTGCAAAAATCACAAGCATTCCTATACACCAACAACAGACAAGCAGAGAGCCAAATCATGAATGAACTCCCATTCACAATTGCTATGAAGAGAATAAAACACCTAGGAATGCAGCTAACAAGGGATATGAAGGATCTCTTCAAGGAGAACTGCAAACCATTGCTCGAGAAATAACAGAGGACACAAACAAAAGGAAAAACATTCCAGACTCATAGATAGGAAGAATCAATATCGTGAAAACGGCCATACTGCCCAAAGTAATCTATAGATTCAATTCTGTTCCCATTAAACTACCATTGACATTCTTTACAAAATTAGCAAAAACTACTTTAAATTTCATATGGAACCAAAAAAGAGCCCTTATAGCCAAGACAATCTTAAGCAAAAACAAACAAACAAAAAACAAAAAACAAAAAAAACAAAGCTGGAGGCATCATGCTACCTGACTTCAAACTATACTACAAGGCTACAATAAGCAAAACTTCGTGGTACTGACATACAATGGAATAGAATAGAGACCTCAGAAATACCACCACACATCTACAACCATCTGATCTTTGATGAACCTGACAAAAATAGGAATTGGGAAAAGGATTCCCTATTTAACAAATGGTGCTGGGAAAACTGGCTAGCCATATGCAGAAAAGTCTTGATTAAAGACTTAAATATAAAACTCAAAATCATAAAAAACCCAAAAAGAAATCTTAGGCAATACCATTCAGGACATAGGCATGGGCAAGGACTTCATGATGAAAACGCCAAAAGCAATTGCAACAAAAGCCAAAATTGACAAATGGGATCTAATTAAGCTAAAGAGCTTCTGCACAGCAAAAAAAAAACTATCATCAGAGTGAACAGGCAACCCATTGAATGGGAGAAAATTTCTGCAATCTACCCATCTGACAAAGGTCTAATATCCAGAATCTGCAAGGGACTCACACAAATTTACAAGAAAAAAACCAAACAACCCCATCAAAAAGTGGACAAAGGATATGAATCTGCAAGGAACTCACACATATTTACAAGAAAAAAAAACAAACAACCCCATCAAAAAGTGGACAAAAGATATGAACAGACACTTCTCAAAAGAAGACATTTATGCAGCCAACAACCTTATGAAAAAAAGATCAACATTGCTGATTGTTAGAGAAATACAAATCAAAACCACAATGAAATACCATCTCACACCAGTCAGAATGGCGATTATTAAACAGTCAACAAACAATAGATGCTGGAGGCTGTGGAGAAATAGGAATGCTTTGACACTGTTGGTGGGAATGTAAATTAGTTCAACCATTGTGTAAGACAGTGTGGCGATTCTTCAAGGATCTAGATCTAGAAATACCATTTGATCCAGCAATCCCAATACTGGGTATATACCCAAAGGAATATAAATCATTCTACTATAAAGACACAAGCACACATATGTTTATTGCAGCACTGTTTACAATAGCAAAGACATGGAACCAACCAAAATGCCCATTGATGATAGACTGGATAAAGAAAATGTGGTACATATACACCATGGAATGCTATGCAACCATAAAAAAGAAGGAGCTCATGCAGGAATATAGATGAAGCTGGGGGCCATTACTTTAGCAAACTAATACAGGAACAGCAAACCAAATATCGTGTGTTCTCACCTGTAAGTGAGAGCTAAACAAGGAGAACTTCTGGACACATAGAGGGGAACAAGAGACACTGGGGCCTACTGGAAGGTGGAGGGTGGGAGGAGGGAGAGGATCAGCAAAAATAACTAATAGGTACTAAGCATAATTCCCGGGTGATAAAATAATCTGTACAACAAACACCCATGACACAAGTTTACCTATATAACAAACCTCCACATGTACCTCTGAACTTAAAAGTTAAGAAAAAATCAAAAGAAGGACAATGTTTTGTGATATGTGAAAATTAAGTGAAATTTCAGTGTCCATAAATGAAGTTTTATTAGAACAAAGCCACAGCCATTCATTTATGTAATGCCTATTGCTGCTTTCACACTACAGTGGCAGGATGACTACTTGCAATAGAAACCATATGGTTCAACAATCATAAATTATTTACTATCTGCCTTTTTACAGAAAAAAAAAGCCAACTCCTGCTGTAGATCACTCACACTGGAGGAATGTGTGGCTAAAAGAGGGGATACATTTCCCATAAGACTCAAGGAACACTCATTATCCATTCTTAAGAGAAAATGATAGGGGTTTAACAAGTGATGTGAATGAAACAAAATAGTATCTATGGATTCCCTTTTGGAATTTGGAGGAAGAATAATTTTCCAATTTTAGGCATTAAATCCCTGTGAGCATGTGTTTCTGAGTACTATGGTTCTTATGTCAAACATTGCATAAGGGTAGGGCACAGGTAGAAAGGAGAAAAGAAAACTTTTACTCTATTACCTGTTTTCTTCTCCATGTGTCATGTGAGAATAGAAGCTATATCTCCTTCAAGATGAACATAGTTATTACCTGGGGGTTCTATTCCCTGTTCCCTGATTAGAAGGTAAATGCTGGGAGGAAAATTGCTACTCTGATGCCATAAAGGGACGCTTCTAGACTAAAAGGAAAGAATTGTATCCACTTGCAATTTAGCCTATCTTTCTTCATCTTTTGCCCTGTCTTCTTTGGGAATGTGAATGTGATGACTGTTTATTCTACACAATCATAAGGGATACATATTGCCATTTTAGTGGCTATGTTTTGCATTTTGTTAAGGTACACGTTTTAAATTTCTTCCTTGTGCTAAAATATCCAGTATTTGTGTGTATGTGTATATATACACACACACACAGCACCCACACACATAGTGTATGACACATATAATGTGCCTTATTTGCATATTATATTTATGTATGAATGTGTCTCAATGATAGTGTCATTTTTATAATAATATGATAATATATTGGTATGATCTAATAATTTAGCTTCCTTATTTCATTGGAATACAATTACCAAGGGGCTTATTGGCCTGTAAAAGAAAACTCCTAGTCGGGATCTAAATGCATTTACAGTAGCCAAATTTACATCTACCAGCTATCTAGACGTCAAATAATATAGAACATAGGGGGCCGAAGCAATTTTTACTGATTGTTTCTTAACTGAAGGATAGGACATATGCAGAACAGTTAAATAGCCCTAGGGTCCATGTTTATTATGGCCAAGAAAGAGAAACGGTAGTCATAAATTAAGTTTATTACATCTTATATATAGCATAGCAAGAGAAGCATGAAAGTAATACCGTATCACTCTCCTTTTCACCAATGCATGAATATTAGATTTATGAATTATGCTTAGTAGTTAGTCCATGCATAAAAAAGCATTATAAAATACATATAATATTGCAATATAGCTGCAAAAATATAGTTAAGTATCTGAAATTCACTTATATAAACAAAACTATAATAATCCAGTGGGAACTGACTTAATATTCAATGTTTCAGCCAGGACACGAGATCTAAGTTATTGTTACAAATGTGTACATGACCATTGTCATGTCATTGAATTGCAAGAAAATTCAATTTATTATGTCATTTTCTTTCCATCTGAATTAGGCATATTTTATATTTGATGTTTTCTTGCTAAAAAGCATTTATAGGCTTTCTCCATTTGACTTTATTTTCTTTCTTTCAATTTGTCATAGATGAGTCCATACTGTGAACTTTTTAATTAAATTTTTTAATGATGCTTGTCCCAGCTTTCTAAATATCTAATCTTACCCTTAAGAGTTTAACTTACCATTTAAGTTTAGAGTTTTCTAAATATTATTATTTAATTGTCTTATAGTGGCAAGTGTAATGCTCCCTGCATAGTCAGTGTCATCAAAAGCTTATTAACTAAGAGAAACAAAGGTAAGTGTTAAAATTTAAAGATCACACAGTGAGGGAAGTCTTGGAAAATTGGCAGAAACCTCTCCAAAGTATATCTGTGGGTAATATTACATACTTCATATTCTGTAAGATGGTGACAGTAAGGATTAGGACAGATTTGAAGGTTTGATCCTTATTTATAAGCTTCTTGCTTGTGAATAGAAGTCAGACCTACAATTTATTAACTTACCTTCTTCACTATTTCTACACTGGTCCAAGTCACCATTATCTTTCACCTGAATTATTCCAATAGTCTCTATAATTGTCTCCTGTTTTCACATCTTCTTTATCACACTGTCTTCTCAATATAGCTGGGAGAGGTTCTATTAAAGGAAGTCAGCTAATTCCTCTTTTCAAATCTCCAAAGTCTGCTTCTCATTTAGAGTAAAACCCAAGGTCCTTACAGTGGTCTACAAGGCCCTACGAGATCTTCCTTCAGGTCTACCATTTCTTTTCCTACTACTTTCTCCCTCACTCAAACTAGCTTCTTTGCTCTTCTCTATGAATTGCCATTTATAAGTGATTATCACATTTCATTTTTAAAATACCATGAAGCCCAGATACTCATGAATTACTCTCTACTTGTTTGCCCTCTGAATACTTTCTCTAGGACTCACCAGGTACAAACATTGGTACAAAGGAGGCCAAAAACACAGCAATAACAGAAACAGCAAAGACAAGCTCTCTTTGTTCTCCTTCTGAGATTTTTTGCTAAAACTGCAAATTGTGCCAGGTTGGAAGGAAGAATCAATGACCCATCATGAGCAATGTACACACACTCTTGGTTTTGCCATTTTCTTGTCTTTTTGTTGGGCCAGAAGGATACCATTGAAAATTACTGCTTCAGTGCTTTAAAGAGTTAATGTAGCTTCCAGAAAGGCTTATTACACTCCCCAGGAGTAGCTTATGCATTATGAGAATGTGACTCAGTTTGTTGGCAAAATGCACATCTGCTACAGGACAGGGACAACTGCTGATTAAAGGAGACTTCAGTGGCCCTAGTCTTTAAGAGCAAGTTGACTGATGGCAAAGTTTTCGAAGATTATATCTAAAGTCCAGTGTCCCTTTTATCACCACCTCCCGTGGGTAATGATTGAACATAATTAGCATTATTTTATATGCTCGAATCCTTCTCCCATTACTGTTAACTGTCTTTCTATCGCAGTTTATTGGATTGCCACTGAACTCAATTTCACTTTGGGCATTCAAGTGAGGCTGAAATTTCTCCCTCTTTCTAGTTAAAATATGTGACATCATCAGAAGTTGGAGGAAATCAGGCATTTATAATGAATATGAGATTGTAGAGCTCCCAATGTAATTAAGATTCTTTTGTCAAAATTTATCTAAATTCACCAGATATGAAAGACTACCACACACACTTCCTTTAGTTTACCAATATAATCCTAGTACAGGTGAGTTGTTGTTTAGGCTTATAGTAGCATATGCTGTTTTAGGAAACTTTTTGCAAAGAAATGGGGGAGAGGGAGTACATTTCAAAATTGTTTTGAACATTAGGTAGTACAAAATATTTCTAAAAATAAAGAGAAGCTTTTTGGATTTTAGAAATGTTGCTTAATGAACATTGCATTTGAACATAATTTTTCATAATTTAAAACCTTATTATATCACCTATTACATAAAGAGAAATCTTAATTGATTTGTCCATTTCAGATGGGGGTGTTGATTGATATTAGAAATTCAGGCCAATAAGACGCAAAGAGAAACAATAAGTAGATTTCAACATTTCAGTTAAGATATATTTCAATCTTTTTTGAGATGGAGTCTTGCTCTGTGGCCAGGCTAGAGTGCAGTGGCATGATCTCGGCTCACTACAACCTCCACCTCCCAGGTTCAAGCGATTCTCCTCCCTCAGCTTCACAAGTAGCTGGGACTACAGGCATGTGCCACCATGCCCAGCTAAGTTTTGTATTTTTAGTAGAGATGGAGTTTCACCTTGCTGGCCAGGATGGTCTCAATCTCTTGACCTCGTGATCTGCCCGCCTTGGCCTCTCAAAGTGCTGGGATTACATGTGTCAGCCATCGCTCCTGGCCAAGCTATATTTCTAAATAGTAACTGAGTGGTTTTACAATATTATAATATTTTCTGGTTGGGCAAAGATTTTTTATTTTAGTTTTTTTTTAATTTTTAATTTTTGTGGGTATATATTAGGTATATATATTTATGAGGTAGATGAGATACTTTGATACAGGTGTGCAATGCATAATAATTACATCAAAATAGGGCATCTATCCCCTCAAGCACTTATGCTTTGTGTTACAAACAATCCAGTTTCACTTTACGTTATTTTAAAATGTACTATTTAATTATTATTGACTATAGTCACCCTGCTGTGCTAGAAAATACTAGGTCTTATTCATTCTTTCTATTTTATTTTTTACCCATTACCCATCCCCATCTCCCCCAACCCTCGAACTACTCTCCCCAGCCTCTGGTAACCATCTGTCTACTCTCAATGTCCATGAGTTCAATTGTTTTCATTTATAGATCCCACAAAGAAGTGAAAACATGAAAAGTTTGTCTTTCTGTGCCTGGCTTATTTCACTTAACCCAATGATCTTCATTTCCATCCATGCTGTTGCAAATGACAGGATCTCAGCCTTTCTATGATTGAATATCATTGTGTATATGTATGACTTTCTTTTATCCATTCGTCTGTTGATGGACACTTAGATTGCTTTCAAGTCTTGGCTATGGTGAACAGTGCTGCAACAAACATGGGGGTGCAGATATCACTTCATTATACTGGTTTCCTTTCTTTGGGGTATATATGCAGCAGTGGGATGGCGGGATTGTATGGTAGCTTTATATCTAGTTTTTTGAGGAACCTCCAAACTTTTCTCCATAGTGATTGTACTAATTTACATTCCCACTAACAGGGTACAAGAGTTCCCTATACTCCACATCCTAACCAACATTTGTTATTGCCTGACTTTAGATATTTCATTTTAATTGGGGTGACATTATATCTCATTGTAGTTTTGATTTACATTTGTCTAACAATCAACGTTGAGCAACTTTTCATATACCTGTTTGCTATTTATATTTCTGGTTTTTAGAAATATCTATTGAAATCTTTTGCCCATTTTTAATCAGATTATTAGATTTTTTTTCCTATAGAGTTGTTTAACCTCCTCATATGTTCTGGTTATTAATCCTTTATCAGATGTGTAGCTTTTAAATATTTTCTCCCATTCTGTGTGATGTCTCTTCACTTGGCAAAATGTTTTCTTTGCTGCATAGAAGCTTTTTAACTTGATATGATGCCATTTGTCCATTTTTGCTTTGGTTGCCTTGGCTTGTAGGGTATGACTCAAGAAATTTTTGCCCAGACCAATGTCCTGGAGCATATCTTCAATGTTTTCTTGTGTTCATTTCATAATTTCATGTCTTAGATTTAAGCCTAATTCATTGTGATTTGACTTTTTTGTATATGGTGAGAGACAGGGATCTAGTTTCATTCTTCTGCACATGGATATCCAGTTTTCCCAACATCAGTTACTGAAGCGACTGTCTTTGCCCCAGAGTATGTTCTTGGCACCTTTGTTGAAAACGAGTTCACTGTAGGTGTATGGATTTATTTCTCGGTTCTCTATTCTGTTCCACTGATCTATGTGTCTGTTTTTAATGTCAGTGCATGCCATTTTTGTTACTATAGCTTTGTAGTAAAATTTAAAGTCATGTAATGTTATTCCTCCGGTTTTATTCTTTTTTCTCAAGATAGCTTTGTTTACTCTGGGTGTTTGGTGTTCGCATATAAATTTTAAGATTTTTAAAAATTATTTCTGTGAAGAATGTCATTGGTATTCTTTTAGGGATTTCGTTGAATCTGGAGATTGCATTGAGTAGTGTGGCCATTTTAACAATATTCGTTCTTCCAATTCATTAACATGGAATGTCTTTCCATTTTTGTGTCCTCTACAGTTTTTTCCAGCACTGTTTTATAATGTTCATTGTCTTGATTTTTCAGTTCTTCGGTTAGGTTAATTCCTCGGTATTCACTTTTATTTGTGGCTATTGTAAATGGGCTTACTTTTTTTTCCTTTTTACATTGGTCACTGCTAGCATATAGAAATGCTACTGATTTTTCCATGTTTATTTTCTATCCTGCAATTTTACTAAATTTGTTTACCAGTTGTACGAGTGTTCTTGTGGGGTCCTTAGGTTTTTCCAAGTATAAGATCATATCATCAGCAAACCAAGATAATTTTACTTCTTCCTTTCCAATTTGGATGCCCTTTATTTCTTTCTCTTGTTTAATTGCCCTAGCTAGGACTTTCAGTGCTATGTTGAATAACAATGGTTAAAGTGGGTATCCTTGTTGTGTTCCAGATGTTGGAGGAAAGGCTTTCAGTTTTTTTCCCATTCAGTATGATACTCAATGTGGGCCTGTTGTATATGCCTTTTATTATATTGAGGTATGTTTCTTCTATCTCTAGTTTTTTCAGGGTTTTTATCATGAAGGGATGTTGAATTTTATCAAATACTTTTCTGGGATCAGTTGAAATGATCATATAGTTTTGTCCTTCATTCTGTTGCTATGATGTACCACATCAATTGATTTGCATATGTTGAATAATTCTTGAATCCCTATGATAAATCCCACTTGACCATGATAAATGATTTTTTTTTTTGAGGCTAATGCAATGACGGCTCACTGCTGTCTCAACTTCCTGGGCTCATGTGATTCTCCCATCTCAGCCTCCCAAGGAACTGGGACTACAGGTGTTCGCCACCATGCCTGGCTACATTTTTGTAGCTATAGGGTTTCTCCATGTTGCCCAGGCTGGTCTTGAACTCCTGGGCTCAAGCGATCTGCTCACCTCAGCCTCCCAAAGTACTGGGATTTTAGGCATAAGTCACTGGGCCCAGCAAATGATCAGTTTAAATGTATTGTTGGATTAAGTTTGCTAGTATTTTATTGAGGATTTTTGCATCAATATTCATCAGAGGTATTGGCTTGTAGTTTTCTTTCTTCACATGTCTTTGCTTTTGGTATGAGAGTAATACTGGCCTCATAGAATGAATTTGGAAGTATTCCCTTCTGCTTTATTCTTTGGAGTAGTTTGAGTAGGATTGGCATTAGTTCTTCTATAAATGTTTGGTAGAATTCAACAGTGAAGCCATTGGGTCCCAGGCCTTTTTTTTTTTTTTCTAGAAACTTCATATTATTGTTTTGTTCTTATTACTTGTTAGTGGTCTTTTCAGGTTTTGGATTTCTGCGTGCTTCAATGTTTGTAGGTTGTATGTGTCTATGAATTAATTTGTTTCTTCTAGGTTTTCCTTTATAGACACAGAGTAGCTCATAATCCTTTAAATTAGTCCTTTAAATAATCCTTTAAATTACTGTGGTTTCAGTCATAATGTCTCCTTTTTCATCTCTGATTTTGTATATTTGTGTCTTCTCTCTTTCTTCTCAGTTTGCCTAAAAGTTTGTCAATTATGTCTTCAAAAAGCCAACTTTTCATTTCTTTGATCTTGTGTATCATTTCCTTATTTCAATTTCATTTATTTCTCCTCCAATCTTTATTATTTATTTTCTTCTACTAATGTTGAGTTTGGTTTGCTCTTGTTTTTCCAGTTTTTTAAGATGCATAGTTAGGTTATGTATTTGAAGTTTTTCTTTTTCTTTTTTTTTTTAAATGTAAGCACTTACAGCTATAAACTTTCCACTTAGGAGTACTTTTGCTGTTCCCATAGGTTTTGATATGTTGTGTTTTTATTATCATTTGTTTTAAAACATCTTTCAATTTTCTTCTTAATTTCTTCATTGACTCACTGGTAATTCAGCATTTTATTTAATTTCCCTGTGTTTGTATAGTTCCCAAATACCTCTTGTTATTGATTTCTAGGCTTATCAAATGGTGTTTTTAGAAGATGCTTGATATGATTTCAACTTTTTGGATGTTTAAAGACCCATTTTGTGACTTAAGGTATGGTCTATCCTTGAGAATGATCCATGTGCTGAAGAAAAGGATGCGTATTATGCAGCTGTTGGATGAAATGTTCTGTAAATATCTATTAGGTCCACTTGCTCTATAGTGCAGATTAAGTCAGATGTTTAATTTGCTGCCTGAAAGATCTGTCCAGTGCTAAAAGTGGGGTGCTGAAGTCTCCAGCTATTATTGTGTTGGGGTCTATTACTCTCTTTAACTCTAATATTTTTTATATATATTTGGGTGCTCCAGCATTGGGTGAATATTTATTTACTATTGTTATATCCTCTTTCTGAATTGACTACTTTATCATTATACTATAACCTTCTTTGTCTCTTTTTTCAGTTTTTGCCTTGAAATCCATTTTGTCTGATATCAGTATAGCTACTCCTGCTCTTTTTTGGTTTCCGTTGACACAGAATATCTTTTTTCATTTTGTAAATTTTCAGTCTGTGTGTACGTTTATAGATGAACTATGTTTATTGTAATCAACACATCATTGGGAATTGCTTTTTTTATCCATTCAGCTGTTTTATGCCTTTTGAATGGAGAGTTTAGTCTATTTATATTCAATGTAATTATTGATAAGTAAAGACTTACTCCTTCCTTTTTGTTATTGGTTTTCTGTTTGTTTTGTGGTCTTTTCTTCCTTTTCTTCATCCTTCCTGTCTTACTTTTACTGAAGGTGATTTTCTCTGGTGGCAAGATTTAATTTCTTGGTCTTTAATTTTTGTATATCCATTTTAGTGTTGTTTTTTGAGATTACCATGAGGCTTGCAAATATCATCTTATAACCCATTATTTTAAGCTGATAACACCTTAACATTGTTTGCATAAACAAACAAGCAAAAATAAAACTAATAAAAACTTTACACCTTAACTTTGTTTCCCTAGTTTTTAACTTTTTTGTTTCTGTTTATATCTTATTATACTGTCTTGTAATTATTATTTTTGAGTGGTTAATTGTTTAGACTTTCTACTTAGGATAACAGTAGTTTATACACCACAGTTACAGTGTTATATTATTCTGTGTTTTTCTGTGTGCTTACTGTCACCAGTGAGTTTTATACCTTAGGATGATTTCTTCCTGCTCATTAATGTCCTTTTCTTTCAGGTTGAAGCATTCCCTTTAGCATTTCTTGTAGCACGTATCTGGTGTTTATGAAATTCCTCAGCTTTTGTTTCTCTGGGAAAATATTTATTTCTCCTTCATGCTCCAGGGATATTTTTGCCAATTTTTGCTATTATCTGGTAAAAGTTTTTTCCTTCAGCACTTTAAATATGTCCTGACTATCTCTTCTGGCCTGTAAGGTTTCGACTGAAAAGTTTGCTGCCAGATGTAATGGAGCTTTGTTGTATGTTATTTGTTTCTTCTCTCTTGCTGCTTTTAGGTTCTTTTCCTTAGAATTGACCTTTGGGAAGTTGATTATTAAATGCCTTGAGGTAGTCTTCTTTAGGTTAAATCTGCTTGGTGTTCTATAACTTTCTTGTACTTGAATGTTGATATCACTCTCTAGGTTTGAGAAATTTCCTGATATTATCCATTTAAATATACTTTCTACCCCTATCTGTTTCTCTACCTCCTTTTGAAGGCCAATAACTCTTATATGTGCCCTTTCGAGGTTATTACCTAGATAGCAATAGCTTTCAAGTGTGCTTTATGCTTTCATATTCTTTTTTCTTTTATCTACGTTGACTTTTCAAATAGCCTGTCTTTACGTTCACTAATTATTTCTTCTGCTTGATTAATTCTGCTGTTAAAAGAGTCGATGCATTCTTTAGTATGCCAATTTCAATTTTCAACTCCATAATTTCTGCTTGATACTTTTAAATTATTGCTATCTCTTTGTAAGTTTATCTGATAGAATTCTAAATTCATACTCTGTGCTATCTTGAATCTCTTTGAGTTTTCTCAAAGCAGATATTTTGAATTATCTGTCTCAAAGGGCATATATCTCTGTTTCTTCAGGATTGATCTGTGATGTTTTATTTAGTTCCTTTGGTGAGAATATGTTTTCCTGGAGGTTACTGATGCTCGTAGATGTTTGTTTATGTCTGTGTATTGAGGAGTTAGGTGTTTATTGTACTCTTCACAGTCTGGGATTCTGTTTCCCATCTTTCTTCTGATGGTCTTTGATATGGTTTGGCTTTGTCTCCACCAAAACCTCATCTTGAATTGTAACTCCTACAATTGCCACTTGTCATGGGAGGAACGCGGTGGGAGGTGATTGAATTATGGGGGCAGGTCTTTCCTGCACTGTTCTCATGATTGTGAATAGTCTTACCAGATTCGATGGTTTTAAAAATGGGAGTTTGCCTGCACAATCTCTCTTCTCTTGTCTGCTGCCGTGTGAGATATGCCCTTCACCTTCCACCATGATTGTGAGGCCTCCCCAGCCTCGTGGAATTGTAAGTCCAATAAACCTCTTTCCTGTATAAATTGTGCAGTCTTGGGTATGTCTTTATCATACCCAAGCATGAAAATGGACTAATACAGTAAATTGGAACCAGTAGAGAGGTGCGCTGCTGAAAAGATACCCGAAAATGTGGAAGCAAGTTTGGAACTGGTTGGCAGAGGTTGGAACAGTTTGGAGGGCTCAGAAGAAGACAGGACAATTTGAGAAAGTTTGGAATTTCCTAGCGACTTGTTAAATGGCTTTGCCCAAGATTCTGATAGTGATAAGGACAATAAAGTCCAGGCTGACGTGGTCTCAGATGAAGATGAGGAACTTGTTGGGAACTGGAGCAAAGGTGATTCTTGTTATATTTTAGCAAAGGGACTGGAGGCATTTTGCCCATGCCCTAGAAATTTCTGAAACTTTGAACTTGAGAGATATGATTTAGGGTATCTGGTAGAAGAGATTTATTTTATTTTATTTCATTTTATTTTATTTTAAATTCTGGGATATATGTGCAGAAAATGCAGATTCATTACATAGGTATACGTGTTTCATGGTGGTTTGCTGCACCTATCTACTCATCATCTAGGTTCTAAGCCTCGCATGCATTAGCTATTTGTCCTGATGCTGTCGCTCCCCTCACCCCCTACCTCCCAACCGGCCCCAGTGTGTGATGTTACCCTCCCTGTGTCCATGTGTTCTCATTGTTCAACTCCCACTTATGAGTGGGAACATGTGGTTTTTGGTTTTCGGTTCCTGTGTTAGTTTGCTGAGGATGTTGGCATCCAGCTTCATCCATGTCCCTGCAAAGGACAAGATCTCATTCCTTTTTACGGCTGCATAGTATTCCATGGTGTATATGTACCACATTTTCTTTATCCAGTCTATCACTGATGGGCATTTGGGTTGGTTCCATGTTTTTGCTATTGTAAATAGTGCTGCAATAAACATAGTGTGCATGTATCTTTATAGTAAAATGATTTATATTCCTTTGGGATTCCTTTGGTTGGTCAAATGGTATTTCTGGTCCTAGATCCTTGAAGAGTTGCCACACTATCTTCCACAATGGTTGAACTAATTTACATTCCCACCAACAGTGTCAAAGCATTCCTATTTGTTCACAGCCTCCAGCATCTATTGTTTCTTGACTTTTTAATAATCATCATTCTGACTGGCATGAGATGGTATCTCATTGTGGTTTTGATTTGTATTTCTCTAATGATCAGTGATGTTGAGGTTTTTTTTTTGTATGTTTGTTGGCCACATAAATGTCTTCTTCTGAGAAGTGTCTGTTCATATCCTTTGCCCCCTTTTTGATGGGGTTGTTTGTGGGGTTTTTTTTTTTTTTTTTTTTTTTTGTAACTTTGTGTGAGTTCCTTGTAGATTCTGGATATTAGACCTTTGTCCAGTGGGTAGATTGCAAAAATTTTCTCCTATTCTGTAGGTTGCCTGGTGGAAGAAATTTCTAAGCAGCAAATCATTCAAGATGTGACTTGGGTGCTGTTAAAGGCATTCAGTTTTATAAGGGAAGGAGAGCATAAAAGTTCAGAAAATTCAGAGCCTGACAATGTAATGGAAAAGAAAATCTCATTTTCTGAGGAGAAATTCAAGCGGGCTGAAGAAATTTGCACAAGTAACAAGGAGCCCAATGTTAATCCCCAAGACAAAGGGGTCCAGGGCATGTTAGAGGTCTTCATGGCAGCCCCTCTAATCACAGGCTCAGAGGCCTAGGAGGATAACATGGTTTTGTGGGCCAGGCTCAAGGTCCCCATGCTGTGTACAGCCCAGGGACTTGGTGCCCTAAGTCCCAGGAGCTCCAGCCATGGCTGAAAAGGGCCAACATGGAACTCAGGCCATGGCTTCAGAGGGTGCAAGCCTCAAGCTTTGGCAGTATCCACGTGGTATAGAGCCTGCAATTGCACAGAAGTCAAGAATTGCGGTTTGGGAACCTCTGACTAGATTTCAGAGGATGTATGGAAATGCCTGGATGTCCAGGCAGAAGTTTGCTGCAGGGGCAGCGTTCTCAAGAAGAACCTCTGCCAGCACAGTTTGAAAGCAATGTGAGAACATGAGATTTGGGAAGGGCCAGGGGTGGAATGATATGGTTTGGCTGAGTCCCCACCCAAACCTCATCTTGAATTGTAACACCCACAATTGCCATGTGTCGTGGGAGGAACCCAGAGGGAGGTGATTGAAATGGGGACGGGTCTTTCCTATGCTGTTCTTGTGAAAGTGAATGAGTCTCAGGAGATCTGATGGTTTTAAAAATGAGAGTTTGCCTGCACAAGCTCTCTTCTCTTGTCTGCTGCCATGTGAGACTTGCCTTTCCCCTTCTGTTATGATTATGAGGCCTCTCCAGCCACCTGGAACTGTAAATCCAATAAACCTCTTTCCTGTATAAGTTGCCCAGTCTTGGATAAATCTTTATCAGCAGTGTGAAAATGGACTAATACCACTTTCCAGGTCCTAAAAGAGACTTGAACCCCAAGCCCAATACTACTGTCATCCATGGAGACTCATAGAAGCACTGCCTTCGTGGTCTTGTAAAAGATTTGGAAGAATTAAAGTTGGAGGCACCAACACTGTGACTGTGCTTGGGCAGACCTGAAACCAGCACAGCACTGGGTCTCACCCAAGGCCCACTGTAACCACTACCAGGCTCCTTTCTATGTTAACTCAAGGCCCTAGGGCTCTACAATCAGCAGGTGGGAAATCCAGCCATGTTTGTGACCTCTTCTTCAGGGCAGCAAGTTTTCCAGGCCCTGTGCAGGTCCAGAGATGCTATCTGGGAACTAAGAATTAGAGTCAAATACCTTAAAAATCTACCTGGTATTCTATTGTACTATGGCTAAGCTGGTTCTTGAACCACAAGACAAAGTCCTTCTCCTCTTCTCTCCCCTTTTCACAGGCAGAGGAGCCTCTCCCAGTGGACACCACCACCACCAGCCCACAGGGATTTCTGCCAGGCCACTGCTAATGTTCACTTAAAGCCCAAGGGCTGCTCAGTCAGCTTGTGGTAAATGCTGCCAGGCCTGGGACTCACCCTTCAGGGAAGTGGGCTCCCCTCTGGCCCAGGGCACGTTCATAAATGTTATCCAAGAGGCTAGGCCTGGACTTAGGGACCCCAAGAGCCTGCTTTATGCTGTACCCCACTGTGGCTAAGCTGATACCTAAGGTGTAAGAAAAGTTCCCTTTGCTTTTCCCTCTGCTTTTCTGAAGCAGTAGGAGTCTTTCATCACAGCCACCACAGCTGGGAATGTGCTGGGTGTCACCTGAAGCCAGCATGTCTCACAATCTCACTGAAGTCCCACCATGTACTATCTGGTTATCACTGATGGTTACTCAGAGCCTATTGAATTATGCCACAATTGTGTCCTTCCCTTCAAATCAGCAGATTACTTTCTGGCCCAGGGTATGTCTAGCATGTCATCCAACATCCAGGGCCTAGAAATAGGGACCTCACAACTCTGCCTAGTGCCCTATCCTATTTTGGCTGAGCTGGTATCCAAGATGCAAGGCAAAGTCCTCTTTACTCTTTGCTCTCCTCTCCTCAAGCACTGCCTGGGGCTGGGGGGATTGGAGGGGGAAGTTGACACAAGCACTCCCTTAGTTTCCCCGGTTGATGTCTCCCTAGGTCACATGTTGCTCTGGTCCCCTGGCTCTAGGCCCAGCCCAGCACTAGGACATGCTTAGGAATTTTAGTCTTTGTGCTTTTGACTGCCTTTCAAATTTACCCAGGATCTCAGAGCGCTTTACCCCATGGTGGCAAGGCTTGATGAGAAACTCAAGTTCCAACCACTGGGATGGGGAATTCCCCTCTGGCTAGGGCTGGTCCAAATGTTCATTCTGTGGGTGGGTGATGGCTGAGCCCAGCAAGACTTTGCTCACCACTGTGACAGGGCAGCACTGAGTCCAATGCCAAGTCCTCCAGTCGCTGTTGTTTCTCTCTCCCAAGTGCAAAGATTCTCTCCTTGCATACAGCCACTGCCAGCGATATGGGAGGGGTGACATCCATGATACACGACTGTCTTTCCTAGCCTTCTCAGTGCCTCTTTTGGTGATATGAAGTTAAAACCAAGTAATGTGATTGCTAACCTGATTTTTGACCTTATGACATTGCTTTTTTTGTGTGTGTAGTTAGTTGTTAGACTTTTATGTTCCTGTCAAGTGGACAATCAGTGGAGGCTTCTGGTTGGCCATTTTTCTCTGGGGTGGGACAGAGATTTTACCAAAGACTAATTAATGCATTTTGAAAATTGGATAAATATTTCCTCATTCAATAGTTTCAGAATTTCATTATTAAGACAAAACTATTGCTACATGTTTTGAATGTTTTAGAAATTGCTGATTATGTTATTGATTATATCTAAAATCTCAATATATCTGCACATGAAAAAAAGAGAAATAATGCTACTTTTTTATTTACCTAAGACATAATATTTTACATATTTATGGGATACTTGTGAGTATTTGTCACATGTATAGAATGAGTAATGATCAAGTCAGTGTATTTGAAGCATCCATCACCTTGACTATTTATCATTTGTATGGGTTGGTAACATTTCATGTCCTCTTTTCCACCTACTTTGAATTATACAATATATTTTTACCAACTATAGTCACTTTAGAATGCTACTTATTCTTAATTTTGCCACTCCTCCTTCAACAAAGTATAGAATTATGGTGACTTTTAAAACATTACGTTTTGAAAAGTATGCATATTCATATACTTGACTACAAATTATAAAACCTAATTAAAATTATTTTCTTATACAATCACCAAATCTATACTGTTCTGTATTGTATTGTTCTACGGTAAGAGAGTTTTTGTGTTTCAGTCTTGATACTTTGCTCACGATAATCCAATGCAAATCAGTACAACACAAACTGACTATTCAAACATGTAGTGTTTTGAAATCACAGCCCAAGATATATGCTTCTTCCTAAATTTTCACATTAAAAACGTCAATGTAAGGTGACATGTATTGGTAGTTAGATCAGAAAAGAAGTAAATAATTCTGAGTTCTATTCCTTGAACTTCTAATGATTTTAATACACCATGTATATGTTTAGCAGGTGCAAAAAAATGTATGAGTACCACACAAATATTACAGTTTAAAAAATAGCCTCTAGGCTGGGCACAGTGGCTTATGCCTGTAATCCCAGCACTTTGGGAGGCTGAGGTGGGCAGATCACGAGCTCAGGAGTTCGAGAGCAGCCTGACAACACGGCGAAACCCCATCTCTACTAAAAATACAAAAGTTAGCCGGGTTTGGTGGCATGTACCTGTAATCCCAGCTACTCAGGGGGCTGAAGCAGGAGAATCGCTTGAACCCAGGAGGTGGAGGTTGCAGTGAGCTGAGATCGCACCACTGCACTCTAGCCTGGGTGACAGACCGAGACTCCATCTCAAAAAAACAAAAAAATAGCCTCTATATTCATTTTGATCTTATAGTGAGACATGGGATTATTGATAAATCAATTTTAATAAATAGTATAAAATCCTAAAACAACTAAAGTATCTAAATGTAATTTAACTTTTAATTACAGTATTATGTGATAAGAATACGAGTGTGAATATTTCCCATGCAATCCATTAAAATTTAATATTTTATTAAATTAAGAAACACCATAAATAGCTTGATATCTTAAAATATTATATTATTAAATTAAAATATATCATGAAAGATAATGTCACATTCTTCAGTGAACAATCAGAAATCCTTGTCTTGAATGAATTATCAACTAAATATATTTACTTTTATTAAATACATGCATAAATGTTAATAGAAAATTAATCTGTGTTAAATGAATGTGTCTTTCTGAAGATTTCTGTACATCATATTATATGGCTCAGATTAAGACACACACTTTACAAAATCTAGCATTTCTGAGTATAAAATCTTCTGACAAAATTTTTTTTCTTATGAGCACCTACCATGTGATTTTAGAGTAACATACATGCATTAATTTTCTCTCAATGAACTACATTTAGCTATTTATTGGCTACTTCCAAATACACACAAATAATTATTTGAATAAAGATTATAGCTCAGGAAGCTATAAAGTTGTTGCTTTTTTTTTTTTTTTTTTTTTTTTTTGAGAGGGAGTCTTACTCTGTTGCCCAGGCTGGAGTGTAGTGGGGTGATCTCAGCTCATGCAACCTACACCTCCCGGGTTCAAGCGATTCTCTGCCTTGGCCTCCTGAGTAGCTGGGATTGCAGGCTCCCGCCCCCACACCCAGCTAATTTTTTTTGTATTTTTTAGTAAAGACGGGGTTTTGCCATCTTGGCCAGGCTGGTCTTGAACTCCTGACCTCGTCATCCACCCGCCTCAGCCTCCCAAAGTACTGGGATTACAGACGTGAGCCACCGCGCCCGGCCGTTGCTCATTTTTTAGGAACACATTTCTGTGATTTTCAGTTTATTATACCGTTGTAGGTAACCTAAAAATAGCTGTGCATTTTCGATATATTAGATATTTTTATGTTGTTATTGAAGGAAAAAAACCTAGCTTTCTACTTGAAAGAGATGATACTTGTTCATTAATATTTATGTGTTTTAAAAGTGAGGGAGAATATTTTTTCAAAAATTAAATATTGCCTCTTTTGGCATATTGGCACATAAGCAAGCCAGCACTTAATAATACAAATAATTTCTTTAACATATTTTACTTTTCTTGACTTCATTTCAGTTGAAATTACATTGCAATTTCTGCAATTAGTGATCTTAGCTTTACTGTTTTCCCTGTCAGTTCAATGAAGTAGTGATTGGACAAAATGTGGAGGATTGGGCTACAAAACATTTAATCTATGCATAACTGAAAGCCTAAAAGATCTCTAGCAGATTTCCTGGGTTGTTATCCCATAAGGCTCATAATTTCTAAAATACACCAAAGTTTATGTTTAGGAATACACATTTTTTACAAAATAAATACACTGATATTCTCTTAGTCTTTCATCAAAGTACTAAATGATCTTTGCCTTTCTAACTTCCATGGGCCACTGGTCCTTGGTGATGGAGCCATGACCTGGAGCTAAAAAACAAAATGAACATATCCAGAAATATAATGTCTTGGCTGCTGTAACTTACAAGGAAATGTTCACTGTATGAAAAACAGCTTCACAGAAATACTAAGTTGTCAATTTATCAGTCAAAATTATGTGTAACCGCCAGTGTACGATCATATACAAATCCTAATATAAAATTTTAATTTGCCTTTAAATAGCTTGAATTTCATTGACAAACATCCTACCACAGGCATAACTTTCTTGAAGTTTAAAATAGCAGCATTAATGTATTAATTATAATCTTGCATTTTTAGATGATTGATAGAGTTAAAAAGAGATATTCCAACTCATTTATAATCTTGCGAGGCTGAAATACTAAGTAAACTATTAGTTCAACTTGTCACTTTAATATAAGTACACTGTTGAAATTCCTAAGGATATAGTCTAGCTGCTTGGCAATGGATTGCAGTGAAATTCATTGAGAGTTCATTGAACATGGAAAGGATGTAATTTATTTAAATCCTTCACTTATTAAATCAGGATTTGAATTTTTTTAATATTTTATTTTTTTCCAACTAATGAAATGGACTTGAAAAGAATTAGCAAAATCTTTGTAGAGTTGTGACAAAGTAATTCTGATGACTATGTTGTCTACTAAAGTTTTTACTGATAAGCGCTGAAGGCTGAATTGAGATGAATACATTCACTGTTGTTTAGAGGATTTGTTTTTATTTTGATTTGTTTTACAGAAAGATATTCAGTTTTAAATACCTTATAGAATAGTCTTGCCCATATCTCCCTTTCCATATAAATAATAAGATCGTATTCTTGCATATTTAATGAGCATATAGATTAACAAAAAGTTTACAAAGGAACTCCTGTGTTTCTTAATAAATAATCATATAAGTAACAGAAGGTAAAATTTTTCCACAGCTTTATTAAATTGATTAGTAAGTACAGACTTTTGAAGCATAAAGTTTTAAATATGTAAAAATTTAGCTTCTGATTTTGTGTCTTTGTCTCTACCTCCCTCATACTTTTTGATTTCATGGGGTTTTTTGTTGTTGTTCTTTGCATTTAAGTTATGCATTTGCTCTCAGCCGTGCTTTCATCTATTCTTTTGAGATTTCAAATATTAAAACCTTAAGTGTGATCTTTGCAGGTGTATTGTCAAGATAAAATTCATGAATTCTCTCTAAGAGAAATGTCTTTAGACTTAGTAAAGGGTTACTACTATAGTGTTTTCTGATTGATGCAAGTACTGTGGAGCTTAAAAGTCAAAATGGTAGATATGAAAATGAGTTTTTTGGGGAATACTTTATTTGCATCAAATAATGTGTAAGATATATTGGCACATCTGTATGATTATGTGTCCTCAGCCCTGTCATACCCATCATTTCTTTCACTGAATTACAGAAGGGATTCCTAAGGAGAAAACCACATAATTCCTAAGTTTGTAATTGGCAATTATAAGGAAAGACAAGCTTTAAATTAAATCTTGATAAAAACTGATCATGCTCTTTCTAAAATGACAACATAGACTTTTTCTCTCCTCCTCTGCTCTAATAAATGAATTAGGCACAACTGTAGATTTCAAGACGTTCATGATGTTTTAGAAGCTTAGGGAGATAGAAAGATCAATTACACCTGGTACCTGCCCTTAGGGAGCTTGTAGTCAAATTAGTGCAGATAAGAAACAAAGGCATATAATTATAAACTCAGGAAAAAACTGATTCCAGAATGAAGATAAAGTCTGGACCACAGGATACCAGAGGAAGGAGAGATCTATTTAGACAGAAGGATTACAGTGCAGGTGGTTCTTAAGCAGGTTGTTGAAAGATCAAATTTAGATATGTGGGTCATCAGGAAAAAAAGGTGTTTCAGAAATAAGAACAGGACTATTAAAGGCACTAACACAGGAAATCTCTGGTGTACACTGATACAAATCAAATAGTTCAGTTTCATCGGGTTAATGTAGGAAACAGAGTTGTTACAAGGAAATTTGAAATGTTTGATTTGGATCTTGGATGCCAGGTCAAAGAGTTCAGTTGACATTTACAATTTTGGGGATTGAGAGTCAGAACAACACTTTCAGGCCAGGCGTGGTGGCTCACGCCTGTAATCCCAGCACTTTCGAAGGCCAAGGCGAGTGGATCATCTGAGGTCAGGAGATCGAGACCAGCCTGGCCAACATGGTGAAACCCCGACTCTACTAGAAATACAAAAATCAGCCAGGCATAGTGGTGTGTGCCTGTAATTCCAGCTACTGGGGGGCTGAGGCAGGAGGATCGCTTGAACCTGGGAGGCCGAGGTTGCAGTGAGCCAAGATTGTGCCACTGCACTCCAGCCTGAGCAACAGAGCGAGACTCCATTACAAAAAAAAAAAAAAAAAGGAACAACACTTTCAGAAGTTTATTTTGGCAGGGATTCCAGTAAAAAATCTGTCTCTAATATGTTTCACTGTATTTCTAACCATTGCTACTAAAAATACACCAACGATGGTGTGCTGCAGCCAACAAGTACCCGCTTGTGAGAGCCAATTGTGCATCTCTTTCCAATTCTATCTAGTGATATCATGTTGTTAGCTTGAAACAGGAAATAGTGGGAGTATTTATGCCGCATAAATTGGCAAATCCTACAACAGGGTGTTTTTCACCTCTTTTGAGAATTGGTCATTAAATTTTTGACCAATATACCACTGGATGGACACAACACTCTCTATGTTAGTGTCTACTGGTGATTTTTAAGCATGTAGGTTTTATTTCTCATCAGACCTTTCAAATTGGTAATAGACTCTCTATGAAAAATAGGAGTATTATCACTGTGGCTTTAATATAAAAGGGAAATGATAATCTACCAAACGCAAAATTATAGTTTGATCCTCCAAGGATTTAAAGACCTTCCAAAATATAATCTTTGGAAAGTACCATCTATTTCTTGGAGCAAATTAACTAAAAACTAAAAACATGTGTTGTTTGTTTTACATTGATATTGGCACTGTTGTAAATTCTTTTTGTTTTTTGCTCCACATAGTGTGTGTTGGCTGATCCAAAAATAAAAAAAGCAAGACAGGGGTGCCAAGGAAAATAGTACTATTTTTTTTTTTATCTGAGAAGATCAAATGAGCAACATAAATGCCTAAAAAATTACTAGAAAGACAATGCAAATACTTTATTAAACTGAGTAAAATAGCACCATATTTATAGATGATCCACATTATAGTCAATTTTAGCAAAACATATCCTTCATTACTATTAGAAATACAAAAACTTTTACAAAAATCTTGACTCAAGGCTCTTCTCAAATATAGTTGTCTCCAACATACTTTCCCATGGGATTAAGTGGTGTTACCTTTGTATTTAAAACATTGTATAATCTGTATAGATTTCCCTTTGAGCTCACAAAATTCAATTAAGAAAAAACATTAACAAAGGGGAAACCAAATATCCACCTATGCATACACATGCTTACATGAAAAAATAAAATCTAAAATACAAAAGGGGCAAAGAGCAATGGTTTATTTTCTCTTCTTTAGGATATATCTTGAGAGGAGTAAGATATTTTTGTAATAATACCGTACATTTTAATGGTGTTTAAACACACACTATCTCCTTTGCATAATATATTAATGTGAAGTATAAAGATTTAGAAAATATACACAATTGATTATCGTATTAATACTGTATCATTTATATTTGGCAATAATTTATATTTCACATTTCTCCATTTATATTATTTGAAATGTAAATATTTTTGTTCCCTGTTTTCTATGGGTGTAACCAGTAAAAACTAGGGTTCTACTGCAGTGATTCTTTTTATGCCTTGATAGACCTTGTTTTATAGGGAGGAACTGAGTCAGGAGCAGTGAAATTGATAGAGCCTCCAGCTCTTTTTGCCAATCAAAACATTTAAGATGATTCTGTTATTTATGTACTTTAGCTTTGAGCCTTTGCTTAGCTATATTTAAACTTTAGGATGTGATGCTATTGGGCTATTTATTGAAAGCTGACATATGGCACAGTGAAACCTAAACAGAAAATATTTATGGCTTAAATTTCCAGGTTAGGTATAGAAAGGTGAACAGCATTTTCTACTTTTTGTTGTTGTTGTTTCTAAGAAGTCAGAGTAAATAGTTTCCCCATCTTCTCATCTTTCAGTCAGAAATTTGAAATCCATTGTGGAAGGAATACAGAGGCATATTTTTGGAAGTCTAATTTAGGAACATGCACACAATGTATTTTCCAGCAGTGAGAAGGTTTTAGCACCCCAGAAAAAAAGCAAGCCTTATCCAGCTCAATGAATTGTCAAAATCAAAGTAGCTATATGCACAGGAGCCACTTTGGATTACCCATTCCTTTTATGGATGAGCTTTAAGTGCACAATGGAAAGCTGCCTGGGAGGGAAAAGAATATTTGCATTCTGATGTCTGGGAGGTAAAATAATACTTGCTGATGACTTTTTTCAGGTCAGGCTAAAGTAATGACATTTGTATCAGCATTAGAAGTAGAAGTACTTAGTAATATACCATGTTTGTGGATGCCTTAAAATGAAGGAATTTCATGGTTTAGAAGAAATGACCAGTAGTCTAACTTACTGAGGTTTGGAGAAGACATGATCTTCCAGGAACACATCATTTCAAAATACAAATAATTCTTGATTACCTATTGATATAAAGCTTTTCTTTTGAAAAAAAAAAAACCGACTTTCTCTCTCTTCCTCAACATTTATCTTCTCAGTTTGGTTATGTTCAAAGTGTCCCTTCTCTCAAATACTCATTATTTAAAACTTTGAGACGAAAGAACTTCCATTTTGTAAGATATGGCTCAAAGTAAATGAAACAAAAAAGCTTTTATTTAAAGAATAAGCTATCTAGTTTCAATGAGTAAATGCAAGGCACCTAACATTGATAAGCCAGATAACGAATTACCAAACAATTCAAAACTTAGTTATATTAATTACTGAAAAAGAATATACTTCGTTCTTTTTACATAGCTACTTATCAAAAGAAGCTAAATGTGGCAAAAAGTCTGAATTTTAATAAATGATTTAGAGGAAAGTAACACTCTTTGGTTGAAAGTGCTACGTGTTAAATGTCTATTAGAAAAATAAATTCATTCTGTGGCATAGGTAGCTCATGATTTCTCATCAAATACAGTTGTTGATGAAAAGACTTAAACTCCGTATTTGAAGAGATTTATTCTGAGCCAAATATGAGTGACCATGGCCCGTGACACAGCCCTCAGGAGGTCCTGAGAACATGTGCCCCAGGTGGATGGGGCACAGCTTCGTTTTATATATTTTAGGAAGACATAAGACATCAATCAAATACATTTAAGAAATACATTTGTTTGGTTCAGAAAGGTGGGAAAACTCTAAATGAAGGCTTCCAGGCTAATGGTAAATTTAAACATTTTCTGGTTGACAATTGGTTGAGTTTATCTGAAGACCTGGGATCAATAGAAAGGAAATGTTTAGGTTAGGATAAAGGATTGTGGAGACCACGTTTTACAGTGCAGAGGAAGCTCTCAGATAGCCAACTTCAGAGAGAGCAGGTTGTAAAATGTTTCTTATTGGACCTAAAAGGTTGCCTATCTCTTAGCTGATTATCTCCTGGATCTGGAAAGGAAGGAAGGAAAGCAAAGGGGAAAGGGGATTCTCTGTAGAATGTGGATTTTTCCCACAAGAGACATTGCAGGATAATTTCAAGGTATGCAAGGAAATATATTTTGGGGTAAAACATTTTGTTTTTTTCTCTTGTTATGCTTGTTATGCCAGAGTCAGATTGGAAAGTAAGTCAGTCATGATATACAAGGTTAAAGGTTAACTAAAACCCATCTGATAAGAATTTATGGTTTGTAGGGCATGACTCCCCTGACCCCTTAGAAGGAAATTTGGGCAATATAAAAAAAAATCACAGCTTAGTCCTCACAGTTTTAGAGGATCTCCTGTGGAACTTAAGGAGAGTCACATCCTTTCTTGAAAAATTAATTGGAATTTTAATTTTAGTAAGATTGAATTTAGCCTTTGAAAGATTAAAATTGTATTTATGGATAGAAAAAAATAGTATCTGTAGATAAACAGGTATTTTAATTAAAAATAAATATTCTGTAAATATTTTATACTAAGGTAATTCTCCCTTGTCTAGTTAGTATATTTTTATACTTTATTATTACAAAATTAAGTTTTTCTTAGCACCAATGATTGTCAGCGTTGTTTTTTGTTTGTTTGTTTTTTCTTGACATGGAGTCTCGCTTTGCTGTCCAGTCTGGAGTGCAGTGGCACAATCTCTGCTCACTGCAGCCTCTGCCTCTCAGTGATTCTCCTGCCTCAGCCTCCCGAGTAGCTGGGGTTACAGGCACCCACCACAATGCTGGGCTAATTTTTTGTATTTTTAGCAGAGACGGGGTTTCGCCACGTTGGGCAGGCTGGTCTCGAACTCCTGACCTCAGGTGATCTGCCTGCCTCGGGCTCCCAAGGTGCTGGGATTACAGGCATGAGCCACCAGGCCCAGCTGTCAGTGTGTTTTAATTTCCAAATGTAACAAAATATTTGGCTTAAAAATAGAGGTATTATTGACATATACATACCAATATTTTGGTGACCCTGAAACCCACATTGATTCATTTTCTGCTTTCGGTTAGCGGTACAAGCTTGTATTACATGAAAATAAAATTACCTTTACTTCTTAGAAAAGCTGGCATTCATACTTCAAGAAAAATATTTTCAGAAGATAAGTTAGGTATTGATGTAAATTGAAGGTTTTTTGTTGTATTTCATATCATCTTATTGGTATGAATATAAAGGATAGTAGAATGATTTTCCATCATGAAATTCATAATTTACTGGAAGCATGTTTTGATGCTGTCCATTTATTTAGTATTCACTAAAGATTGCAGTATATGTACAGTACACTTTTTAAGAGTATGGATTCTGGAGCTAGACCGTCTGGGTTCAAAGTCTTACACTTTGACACTCTCTAACTGTGTGACCTTGGACAAGTTAACTAATCATTCTGTGCCTGTTTCTGTATCTTCTAAAATGGAGACATTCATCATGAGCTTTTCATATAAGATAGTTAACCTAAGTACCAGCAAAGTAGGTTGTAAACTCTTTAAGTGTAACATATACTTTGTGGCATACACACCTTTATATTCCGAGTACCTAGGATAGTTTCTAGCAGACAGAGTTAACGAATAATACATATTTTTAATAAAACTAAATGTTCCAATGCATGTTGAAAATTGATTATAATTCCCTTGCAAGTTTTGGTTCTGATTGCACTGGAACCCCATGTAGCTCCAAGTTGGACAAAGTCAGCTGGTTTACATCTCAATGTAATAAATATTTGTTGAAAGAACTGTATGGCATGATGCCCCCTTTGTGTCTACTCACATTGACTTCAATAAATGATATTCTCTTTCTTGATACAAAAATCTACAAAAGTTTATTCATATAAATTTCTATACTATGAAAATTAGCATTCCACAAATTCTATAAACCAAATCATGAGTTACAGGATTGATAGATTGAGGGATAGAGGGATAGATGAACAAGTGCATCAAATGAAATATAGTTCGAAAGCACTATTACCCATTCAATTCCAAGCACTAAACCATTAAGAAACTTCTTGCGGTTCTCTTCCTTTCCTTAGTCGGCATATGATAAATCTTTTTGTCCTAATGTCTCTTTCATGTTTAATTTCCCAGTGTTGGTTTACAAGTGTTACTCTTTCTCTTCACTATTGGAAATTGGATGATTCAATTTATTTTTAAACTTTTAATGTTAAAAGGCATTGGCACTTCAAAAGAGAAAATGTATCTCCTAGGTTTGTGATATGAGCAGTGATATAGCAATGATTTCAAATACAGCATGCTTTAAATTCCAAGCTGGTGGAAATGTACCTGTATATTAATTAGGTGTTTACTATTTATGGCCAGAAACAAAATATCATGAATTGTTGAGATACATGTACATGGAGAGATTATATTCTTATTTCTACAGTACTAGTAACAATATAGTGAAAAATATACAAAACTACATTCCTTTATCTTTGTACATGGGAAGATTTGAGAGTGCATAGAGTTTCATCACTAAGATTGTATGATATTAGTCTCAATATATCTTCAAAGAATCAAATGGGTGTGAAGTATATTAAAATTTGGTAAAGTGTTAGTGAGAGCCTGGGTAAATAACTCTAGGCATTCAGGTTAATAATAAAAAGAAAATTTTTGATAGTTTTAATGGTTGTACAACTGTCTGAATATACTGCAAACTAATGAATTTCATGTTTTAAAAGGTGGACAGTATGACACTTAAATTATATTTCAATAAAGCTGGTAAAATGCTCATACAAATAGTTTTTGAAATGTAAATACCATTGTGAACACTTTCAACTCAGTTATCATACAGTATATTTTCTTTAGTCTCCATCCAGTTCCAGCAAATGCTACTACATGCACACTGAGAAGTAACAAAAAGGTAAAACTCTGTTTTCATTATTCTCCCTAATTTGCTCCTCAAATCATTCTTATCCCCATAGCAACTCAGAGGAGTTGGAATGAATGTCCCATCCCCATTTCTTCTGCTTTAGTAAACTTGAATATTTAACTAGTATGATCTGACCCTTGGTTTGAAATTTAGATGCCTTATGACTACAGAAACTATAATAGGCACAATATTTGTCAAAAATGTTGAATACTGCAGGAAAAACAAATGCAATCCCAATAAAGTCCAGTTTTAAAATTAGCTTTACATGTAAGTGAGTTTTGTGGGAATGGGATCAGAATGGGTGATACTAAGTCATTAAAGTGCTTTGTTTTACAAAGAATGGATAAAGTTGTGCTGATTTTCAAGTCTGCATTGATTGACTTGCTCTTTTAATGCATTATAAATCACAGAGAAATAAAAATCATGGTGAAGAAAATTATTTAAAAATACCATAATAATAAGTATTGTCCAGTTATAATTATCTAATTCATTTTCTCTCTCTTTCTCTGTCTCTCAACTTACTTCTGCATTTATACTAAGAGAAGATACACAGAATAGACACTAACCTTGCAGACACAAACATTCTATAACATCCTAATTAATCTGGTAGGTGGGATTAATTTTTTTCTTTCCAAACCACAAGAAGCATTATATGTTAACATCATCAATTTTCAGATATATTCTATATACTTGTAATATAGTTGAACTTCATCATATGCATAATTTTTATTCTCTGAAAATATAGCACTTTCCCTAGAATTCTTAGCATTTTCCTCTCTAATAAGGTTTCTTGAAGTAGACACTATCAAAACTTTATGAAGTAAGAAAATTGTATTATTTACTATTGACTTCTTGTTTGAATTAAAGTCAAAAAATAAATTTCAAAATAAAGTCATTACATTTTTGTTGCTGGAAATTAGAAGCAGAAATATTTCCTCAGTACGAAAAAAGATCTCTGCATATTTAGTTATTTAATAAATGTTCATTGAATGTAAAACACATCTTTTATTCACAGTTCTTATTTCATGTATTCTAATGTTAATTATTAGTACTATTCATGTATTTACATATTTAAGTTATCATATAAATTTAGAAACTTATTAGAAACAATTTTATTACATTTCAGGTGTTTCTCCAATTGCCTGTGTGCTTTATTGCACTAGCAGAAGACAATTTTTATTTTACTGGCATACGAATACAGGCTTTACGTGTATCCTGAGGCACAGGGTCCCAAACTGCATTAGTTCAACAGACAGCAGCATGATAATAAACCCCAGGGTGTCAACCTATTAGTTTTAAAAATAGCTATAAAATTGACTTTAAATCTGATTTGTAATATTTTGCAGTCTTCATAGTAGTAATTCATAACTACCTATCTATACTTTCTTTAATTATTTAAAAATTCATAATACTATCATCAAGAATGTTCTGAAAATTGTCAAACCCAAGAGGTCAAAACTATCATTTTTTGGGTTACTATGTTTCAAATAAGGAAAATAAGGAGCAGCGGAAGAACTGACATTGAACTGAGTCTTTTTTTTTTTTTTTTTTTAAGACAGTCTTGCTCTGTCACCCAGGCTGGAGTACAGTGGCACAATCTCGGCTCACTGCAGCCTCTGCCGCCCAGGTTCAAGCGATTCTCCTGCCTCAGCCTCCTGAGTAGCTGGGATTACAGGCACCCACCACCACACCCGGCTAATTTTTGTATTTTTAGTAGAGACGGCGTTTCACCATCTTGGCCAGGCTGGTCTTGAACTCCTGACCTCGTGATCCACTTGCCTTGGCCTCCCAAAGTGCTGGGATTGTAGGCGTGAGCCACTGCATCTGTCCAAGTCTGGTATTTTTTAAATGTCAGGCTGAGTGTTGTCATCTGCTCTTGACATGTCATTTAATTTTCAACATGGTTGTTCTCAGAACTGTTATCCCCATTTTTCAAATGAGGAAATGAAGGCTAAGAAATAATAATAAACGTGGCCAAGATCACAGAACTCATGCTTAGTAGAACCTCAGCCCATGCTCATGTATTCCTGATTCCATTTCACAATCATTTAACTGAAGATACTAACATTTCAACACCCAACATTGCCATGGGGATAATCTGAAGTGTGCCAAGAGCTTATATAAATGCCTCATTAATTGCTAAATCACTTACAAATTGTAAATTTGGCTTAAGTTTATCTCTTTATGTCTACTTGGGACCTAGAAGCAAAGCAGGGTAAATTTAGCAAGGAATGGACAAGATCAATGTTCTTGTCATTTCCCAATTGTGTAACCTTTTTAAAATCACTTTACTTATTTAAGTTGACCATGGAAATGATATATTTCCAACTCACAGTTTTGTCAGAATCCAACAAGATATTTTATGTGAAAATTTTTACTTCATTGGTCAAAACCTGATAAATAAGAAATTTTTACAGGATTCCATGTTTAATAGAGTCATTGCTTCTTCACCAGAAGTTCAAGGAAGAACTTCTTGGAATTAAAAAGTAACCACAGTGTGTGCCTGGCACGGTGGCTCACGCCTGTAATCTCAGCACTTTGGGAGGCCCAGGCAGGCAGATCACCTGAGGTCGGGAGTTCGAGGCCAGCCTGACCAACATGGAGAAACCCTGTCTCTACTAAAAATACAAAATTAGCTGGGCATGGTGGCACATGCCTGTAATCCAAGCTACTCGGGAGGCTGAGGCAGGAGAATCACTTGAACCCGGGAGGCGGAGGTTGCGGTGAGCTGAGATCGTGCCATTGCACTCCAGCCTGGGCAACAAGAGTGAAATTCTGTCTCAAAAAAAAAAAAAAAAAAAAAAAAAAAAAAGAAAAGAAAAAGTAACCACAGTGTAATGTTTAATTTAGCCTTTGAAACTGAAAACACATGTGACAATCGTTGAAGGAAACCAGTTGCTCAAAAGAAGTTATAAAACTATAAATATATACTTTAGAGAAAAGGAGTTTGCTGTTCAATGAATATGGAATACCCATTATGTGGATATCTAGAGTACCTGGTACCCTAATGCCTGAACTTCCTATTCCAGGAAAGGCAGAGTGGAATTCTTAAAATACTCTTCACTTTAACTTCTCCTAAAGGAAAGTAGACATGAAGAGCAAGTAGGCATACTGGGATATGTGGCCATGAGATGTCCTGGATAATGTGCCTGAATAAAATTTGAACTGAGTTCCTTTATTTTACTTTCCTTTATACTGCTACTTGATACATAGTAGTTTACAGGTTGCAGGATTATTTCATTACTATGTTTCTCTTAGAAAAAGAGCAATTTAAGAACCATCCAATGGCATTCGATTTATAATTGTATTAATAAACAGAAAGTCACTATTGAAACAAACCAGACACTGGGCAAAGTTGCCTGTAGGAGAAACCTGGAATGAAAGAGAGACTATGAATCTTCTTTTAAAGCTCATATATGCTACTTGAAATACTAGCAAATATCATATTTCGTTGCTATATATATTCATATGACATGTGTTTGGGGCTTTACATAAGAGCCATATTAGATTTATTTACTTATTTTTTTTAACTTTTAAATTCAGGGTACATGTGCAGGTTTGTAACATAGGTAAACTTATGTCATAGGGGTTTGTTGTACAGATTATTTCATCACCCAGATAGTAAGCCTAGTAGCCATTTCTCTGGATCCTTTCCCTCCTCCCACCCTTCACCGTCTGATAGGCCCCAGTGTGTGTTGTCCCCGCTATGTGTCAGTGTGTTCTCATCATTTAGCTCCCAATTATAAGCCAGACCATGCAGTATTTGGTTTTCTGTTCGTTTGTTAGTTTGCTAAGGATAATGACTTCCAGTTCCCTCCATGTCCCTGCAAAGGACATGACCTTTTTTATGACTGCATAGTATTCCATGGTATATATGTACCACATTTTCTTTACCCAGTTTATCATTGATGGGCATTTAGGTTGATTTCATGTCTTTGCTATTGTAGTGAACATATGTGTACACATGTCTTTATAATAGAATGATTTATATTCCTTTTGGTATATACTTAGTAATGGGATTTCTGTGTCGAATGGTATTTCTGTCTTTAGGTCTTTGAGGAATCACCACACTGTCTGCTGCAATGGTTGAATTAATTTACTCTCCCACCAACAGTATATAAGAATTCCTTTTTCTCCACAACCTCATCAGCATTTGTTATTTTTTGACTTTTTAAAAATAGGCACTCTGGTGTGAGATGGTATTTCACTGTGGTTTGGATTGGCATTTCTCTAATGATCAGTGATTTTGATCATTTTTTTCATGATGGTTGGCTGCATGTATGTCTTCTTTTGAAAAGTATCTGTTCATGTCCTTTGCTCACTTTTTAATAAAATTGTTTGTGTGGTTTTTTTTTGTAAATTTAAGTTCCTTATACATGCTGTATATTACACCTTTGTTGGATACATAGTTGGCAAGAATTTTCTCCCATTCTGTAGGTTGTCTGTTAACTCTTTGATTGTTTCTTTTGCTGTGTAAGAGCTCTTTCATTTCCTTAGATCCCAGTTGTCAATTTTTGCTTTTGTTGCAATTACTTTTGACATCTTTGTCATGCAATCTTTGCCCATGTCTATGTCCTGAATGGTATTGCCTAGGTTGTCTTCCGAGATTCTTATAGTTTTGGACTTTACATTTAAGTCTTTTACCCAACTAGAGTTAATTTTTTACACTTATTTAAAATTATATTTATGTATTTAGACTTAACTTTTAAAATTTATATCTTATTCTAAATTTTAATCAACTTAAAATCTGTTTTTTACTTAAAAAGAAATAGCACATACACACACATGCAGGAATTTAATATTCTTCACTTATATGTAAAAAACATTATTTGATGTTTTCCGTTTCAAGATATAACAATTTATTTTCACTTTTATGTGCATTTATATTATTATATAGGTTTTTAATTTGTGACCTAACTCTTCATTCTGGACAAAGATAACTAGTTGCATCTTTAGATGTAAAGTTACACTCAAGTGCAATAAAGTGAGTCCTCAAAATGACAAAACAAACAAACAAAAAACAACAAAGCAGACACTGAAGTGAGGAGAAGGGAAACGTAATAGCCTATTATGCAAAAATAACTTCATTTAAGAAATCAACCAAGATTAGAGAAAAATATGAGTATCCACATGGGGATTATATGGGTATATTGGCATCTATAATTTTAAAGATGGTTTATGAATCATTGTTTTGAATCAGATTGGAGGACCAATCTCTACTCTTTATAATGAGGCTTCTTTCTGTCCTAGCTAAGTGGGAGCTATAATTGATAGTGTATATGGCCACGAAGTGGAACAGAATGCTGTCATAGGAGTTTTCTACGTAATGTGATTAAAGCTAACATGCAGTACATCAAAAACACTGTAGTCCGTCTGACAGTCTTTAGCAGTGGGCATCTAATATTGAAGTTTGATTTACTTCAACATTTGAAAACTCTGTTACCTTAATATCTTTCAAGGACTTCAAATACTTTTTGATTTATTCCAAGCTTTCATTTTATTATTGAACTGGAACTAAAACTTCCAAAATGCAAATGAAATAAATGAAATAAAGATCATTAATGGTGCTTAATTCAGTTATCAGAATATCAGCATAGTGTGAGTTTTGCAAATTGGTTTCTCAATTCTGAATTTACATTCTGTTTGCCATGTGTTCAACTTGAACTTACACAGGATGACTCATTTTTATAAACTTATACCATTCATATAACTTGAGGAAAAGATTTATTGCTTATCTTTATAGACAAGTAACTTGAGTATACAGTCACTCTTTAGATAATAGACATTTTACTCATTATGTTGTGGATTCAATTCTGAAGCCAGTTATTTTGCTATTAGAATTGAAATTATTCATTTTAATCACGATGATAATAGATTCACAGCCACGTATAATAAAATTGCAAAGTCTACTTGATTTGCCTTTAATTTCTTCCCTTTCTATGTTGCTCTTCTCACTTTATTGTCCATCTTGGTTACTCAAGTCTTGGGACAAAACCTCCCAGTGATCTCTCCTCACTTCTCTCAGGCCTATTTTAACTCAGTCCTCTAGAGCCTCATGGTTGATGGAGACAGTCACATGGCTGGATATATTAAAATTATCTAAGATATCTACCTTTCTGTTTTTATTAGTGCAACTAATACCTAAAAGAGGAAGGACTGGTGGTGCAAGATGACATAGTTTCTGGAAACTATTTCTGTGCAGACTCCAAAAAGGGGAAGGATGGAAGGGGATTGAGGAGTGAGAAATTACCTGTTGGATACAATGTTCACTATTTAGGTTGTGGGCTCACTAAAAGCCAAAACCTCACCATAATTTTCAGCATATCCATGTAACAAACCTGCACATGTACCTTCTGAATCTAAAATAAAATCGAATAACAAAAAACCGATTTTTGGACTATATTTCATAAACCTACCAATATGGTCCATAAGAAGTTGCAAATGCTATGAATAAAATAAATTATATAAATGTAAAATCGTATCTGCTTGTATGTATTTGTTTAATCCTCATAGTATGTGTAATTCATTTCTATATACAAGTACATGCCATGGTATTTACACAATACATATGGTCAAATAGTTATGTGCTCATAAAATATTAAAAATTTTGGATGAAGAAAGAGATATTGTACTTAGTCATTGATATTGACATTGTATTTCATAATTCCAGTGCAGTAATGCATGTGTGTTTATGTTGATAAATGCTGATCAGAATTCAGATTTACAGTAAAAAAACAGAACCGAATAAATATTCAGATTCAAAATATTGATATTATTTCAATGCTGTATTTTTCTGTGATTTATATTCTCAGAAATTGTGGTGGGAAATTGAATTTGATATTGTGGTTCAAGGTGCATAGATTCCTCTCTTGTCAATGGTTTACATTGGTCATTAACAGTGGCAGGTTGTTGCAGAGGTGAGGAAATTACATGTTCCCAAGTGTTTCTAAAATATAAAAACCCAAAGAGTTGAATTAGGTTTTGCATCTAAGTTAAACTGAAGCTTGTGATATGATGCTTCCACAGAGCTATTAAAAGTTATTAAAATCCTGATTCTGTGTGTCTAATAAATTTTGGCTGTATGATATGAATGCATTAATTTTGTGCTTAAAAGCAAAAGGGCTGATAAAAAGTTCCAGTTAATATATAAACATAGTAGAAATTTGATACATACTTCTTGATGATACATATTGTGTGACAGAAAACCTAACTATAATAATGATACCAACTCATATTGTACAGGACTCTTTCATATATTACATTATTTGATCCTCACAATCCCATCAGCTAGGAAAGGCAGACTTTATGAATTTCTATTTAAAGATGAGAAAATGGAAATTCAAGGAGGTATTTGAGTTTTCTAGGATTCAGACATAGGTCTAGTAATATTTTTCAGTATACCATATTGCTTCTGAGTACTCAGAATCTCATTTTCAATTGTAACAGTTGTAAAAGGCCTGTATATGCTTACAATATGTGTGCAGAGTGTAGATATGAAGCCTCAATGGTGAGAACAACCTTACATATATCAAATGGATTCTAAACCAAAGAAATTCCAGCAACTAAATATCCTACCTTGGTTCCTTATATTTTTAACGTGTAAAAATTCACATAAATATCACATTTGGAAAATAATGCAGATTTATATCATACCTGCATAGAAGAAAATATGGCACACTGATTTTTATGACGGGGAACAAAGCCGGGCTTTTGATCCTAGAATTACAGTCCTGTAATTTAGACCTCCTTAATGTAATAGTTTTATGATAACTCTGCAAGCCTAGGCATCACTGCTACTTAATCTTTCTGCTTACCTATTTCACAGGTATTTAATGCCCATTTAGTCATCATTTGAAAAACTTATATATATATTAACCAAAGCTAAATTTATCTACTCTGCTTATATATGCAGCTTGACACACACAACTAATTTAATATGTAGGTGCTTTCCTTGATCCAATTAGGTTCTTCTGTTTTATTCATAGGTATAGATTGTTGCAAGCACTAAAATTATACCCATAAAAAAAAGTTTGCATCTAAAAACAGGATTAGCTAATTGCTTGGCACTTTGAGAAAATTCCATCCACAATCTGATGAACTCCCAATTTAAAAATACAGGAAAATGATTTAAAATAAACATTTCTGCTTTTATTCTGTTCTGTGTGTCATAAATGTAACATAAAATAATTCCATAGGAAACGGGATGGTTTCTCTAAGTTTCAGATGACTTTATAAGTAATTTTGTTTTATTTTGTTTCTTTCTTTGATTCCTGGGGAATTAATTTTTTTGCAAACTTTTATTTTAGGTTCATGGGTACAGGTGCAGGTTTGTTATAAAGGCAAATTGCATGTTACAGGAGTTTGCTATATGAATTGTTTTGTCACTCAGGTAATAAGCATAGTACCTGACAGACAGATTTTCAATCCTCAGCCTCTGCACACCCTCCACCCTGAAGTAGATCCTGGGGTGTCTGTTCTTCTCTTCTTTGTGTCCATGTGTACTCAATGTTTAGCTTCTACTTATAACATGCAGTATTTGGTTTTCTGTTCCTGCATAAGTTCACTTAGGATAATGACCTCCAGCTCCATTTATGTTGCTTCAAAGGACATGATCTCATTCTCTCTTATGGCTACATAGTATTCCATGGTGAATGTGTACAACATTTTCTTTACCTAGTTTAACATTGATGGGCGTTTAGGTTGGTTCCATGCCTTTGCTACTGTGAATGGTGCTATGATGAACATACATGTGCATGAGTCCTTATGGTAGAACAATTTCTATTCCTTTGCGTATATACCCAATCATGAGATTGCTGGGTTAAATGGTAATTTTGTATTAAGTTCTTTGAGAAATCGCCAAACCACTTTCCAAAATTGTTGAATTAATTTGCATTCCCATCAGCAGTGTAAAAGTATTGCCTTTTCTCCACAACCTTGCCGGCATTTATTATTTTTTGACTTATTAATAATAGCCATTCTTACTGGCATGCAATAGTATCTCATTGTAGTTTTCATTTGCATTTCTCTAATAATTAGTGATACTGAACATTTTTTCATATGCCTGTTGGCCACATGTATGTACACTTTTGGAAAGTATATGTTCATGTCCTTTGCCTACTTTTTAATGGGATTGTTTGATTTTTGCTCATTAATTTGTTTAAGTACTTTGTAGATTCTGGATATAAGACCTTTGTCAGATGCATACTTTGAAAATATTTTCTCCCATACTGTAGGTTGTCTGTTTATTCTGTTGATAGTTTCTTTTTGCTGTGTAGAAGCTCTTGAGTTTAATTAGCTCTCATGTGTCAACTTTTGATTTATTTCATTTCCTGTTGGCGAATTGTAATAAAATCTTTGCCAGAGCCTATGTGCAGAATTGTATTGCCTCAATTGTCTTCCAGAGTTTTCATATGTTAGGTGTTACATTTAAGTCTTTAATTCATCTTAAGTAGATTTTTATATATGGTGAGAGGAATGGGTCCAGTTCCGGCACCATTTATTGAATAGGGAGTCCTTTCTCCATTGCTTGTTTTTGTCAATTTCTGGAAGATCAAGTTATTGTAGGTGTGTTGCGTTATCTGGGGGCTCTGTCTTCTGTTCCATTGGTCAGTGAGTCTTTTTTGATGCCAGTACCATGATGTTTTAGTTACTGTAGCCATATAGTATAGTTTGAGGTTGAGTAATGTGATGCCTCCAACTTTGTTTTTTTTACTTAGGATTGCCTTGGCTATTTGGGTTGATTTTTTTGTTTGTTTGTTTGTTTTTTGGTTTCATATAAATTTAAAGATAGCATCTTCTAATTTGCTGAAGAATGTCATTGGTAGTTTGATAGGAATAGCACTGAATCTGTAAATTGCTTTGGGCAGTATGGCCATTTAACAATATTCATCCTTCTTATCCATGAGCATGGAATGTTTTTGCATTTGTTTGTGTCATCTCTGATTTCTTTGAGCAGTGTTTTGTAATTCTCATAGTAGAGATATTTCATTTCTCTGGTTAGTTCTATTCCTAGGTATTTCATTCTTTTTATGCCTATTATAAATAGGATTGTGTTCTTGATATGGCTCTTGGTTTGGATGTTGTTGGTGTATAGAAATACTACTGACTTTTGGACATGATTTTTGTATTATGAAATTTTGCTGAAGTTGTTTATCAGATCTAGGAGCTTTGGGGCAAAGACTATGGGGCTTCCTAGGTATAGAATGATATCACCTACAAACAGAGATAGTTTGACTTCCTCTCTTTTTATTAAGATGCCTTTTATCTTTTATTTATTTCTATTGTCTGATTTTTCTTCCTAGGACTTCCAGTACTATGTTCATTAGGAGTATTAGAGTGGTCATCTTTGTCTTGTTTCTGTTCTGAAGAGGAATGCTTCTAGCTTTTGCTCATTCAATATGATGTTGGCTGTGGGAATGTCATAGATAGCTCTTACTATTTTGAGGTATGCTCCTTCAGAGCCTAGTTTGTTCAGGATTTTTAACGTGAAAGGATATGAACAGACACTTCTCAAAAGAAGACATTTATGCAGCCAACAAGCATATGAAGAAGAGCTCATCATCACTGGTCATTAGAGAAATGCAAATCAAAACCACAATGAGATACCATCTCATGCCAGTTAGAATGGCGATCCTTACAAAGTCAGAAAACAACAGATGCTGGAGAGGATGCAGAGAAATAGGAACGCTTTTACACTATTGGTGGGAGTGTAAATTAGTTCAACCATTGTGGAAGACAGTGTGGCAATTCCTCAAGGATCTAGAGCCAGAAATAACATTTAACTCAGCAATCCCATTATTGAGTATATAACCAAAGGATTATAAATCATTCTACTAAAAAGACACATGCACAAGTATGTGTGTTGCAGCACTGTTCACAATAGCAAACCCTTGGAACCAACCCAAATGCCCATCAATGATACACTGAATAAAATGTGGCACATATATGCCATGGAATACTATGCAGCCATAAGAAAGGATGAGTTCATGTCCTTTGCAGGGACATGGATGAAGCTGGAAACCGTCATTCTCAGCAAACTAACACAAGAACAGAAAACCAAACACCGCATGTTCTCACTCATAAGTGGGAGTTGAACAATGAGAACACATGGACACAGGGAGGGGAACATCACACACCAGGCCTGTCGGTGGGTAGGGGGCTAGGGGAGGGATAGCATTAGGAGAAATACCTAATGTAGATGATGGGTTGATTGGTGCAGCAAACTACCATGGCACGTTTATACCTATGTAACAAAGCTGCACATTCTGCATATGTATCCCAGAACTTAAAGTGTTAAAAAAAAAAAAAGCTATGCATTCAAAATTTTTAAAAAAATAAAAATTAAAAAAATTCTTAAAGTGAGTTTTTAGCTCTATCTGATCAGCTTGGTTCTTTCTTAAAACAGACATTTCATGTATCTCCTGGGTTATTTTATTGTATTCCTTAGATTTCTTGGATTGCATTTCAAGTTTCTCCTGAATCTTGATGGTCTTCATTTATATCCACACTCTGAATTCTATTTCTGTCGTTTTAGCCATATCAGCCTGGTTAAGAACCATTTCTGGGGAACTAGAGCAGTTATTTGGAGGTGAGAAAACACTCTGGTTTTTGAGTTGCCATAGTTCTCACACTAGTTCTTTCTCATCTGTGTTGGCTGTTTCTTCTATCTTTGGAATTGCTATCCTTTGGATGAGAATTTACTTGTTTCTTCTTTGATGCCTTTGGGGGTTTGATTGTGATATAAGGTTGATTCAGTTGACTGGCTTTGTTTCTGGACGATTTTGGGGCACCAAGGCTCAGCTCAGCACTCTTGGGCTGTGTGCTCTAATTCTGGGAGGCAGGTATTGGGCCCCCAGCTTTGTTTTCTGGCCTCTGCAAATTAGGAATCTGCTGTGCTGGAGGGACTGAAACATTCCCTGTCTGCAGCCACAACACTCTGATGGGTTGTACTGGCTAAAACACTTTCTTGGGGTGGTGACAGCAGAATTCATGCTTGCTCATGTGTACCAGTAGCCATGGCAGCACAGCATGTGTATTTGTATTTGTGCATGTGTATTTGCTGGGGTTGGGTACTGGTAGGAGTGGGACATTGGTGTTCTTGGGTGAACTTGTGTAGGTGGTGTGGTGGGGGTGGGGGACTGGCAGGGGTAGGGTTGCCTGTGTCCATGCTTGCACTTGTACCAGCAGTGATGGCAGCATGGGTGGGTCACTGGTGGTTTCAAGGATGCTGCCCTCCATGCACACATTTGCATTGGCAGCAGTGATGGCCTCATTTTAGTTATAAACTTTTTTAAGGACATATTAACATACATTTTATTTTTTGTTCTTCTAAAAATCTAACTTTATAGTTTACATACAATACAATGCACCAATTTTGATTGTACAGTTCAACATGTTCAGAAAAATGTATACACCCATGTAACTACCACCACAATCAAGGTATGGAACATTTCTATCAAATCCACACAAATGAAAAATAAATAAATAATAAATAAATAAATAAATAAATAGTTTTGTCATGTTACTATGTGGTCAGTCTTTCCTCTTCCCTGTTCCAGGCAACTACTACTTTGTTTTCTGCCATGACATGATAGGTAAGTTTGCTTATTCCAGAATTTCATTTAAATGAAATCACAAGGTAATTATAGATTTATGATTTTATTATAATTGAGAAACTTATTAGTTCTAAATTGGACAGTGCAATAAATTTTTTGTTGTTTTTTGTTTTTCTCCCCGGGAGAGGCAGTTTAATGAGCTCGGGGCCAATACAAAAGATCAAATTTCTCTCCATGGGGAAATGCAGGAACCCACAGAACACTACGCTTGCTGGGAAAGCGGGTAGCTTCTCATTTAGTTGCAGGAGGAGGAGATAGCTCCCAGGGCTTTCAGAGGAAAGCATGGCCTTCAGCATCAGGGACATTGGGGGTGCACTCCAGGATCTGAGGGGTAAACTTCAGGAGGCTGAGGGTGGACCCAAGGAGCTGCAGGATGGATTCCAGAAGCTTACAGGTGGTCTCTGGGAGGCTGGGCATTGAACCCCATTGCCTGAGGGTGGATCCCTGGGGCTCGTGGGTATGCTCCTGGGGCCTGGGGGTAAACTACAGGGGCTGATGGATGCACACCATCCATGTTGTTGCAAATGACTGGATGATCTCATTCTTTTTTTATGGCTGAATAGTACCCCATTGTGGATAAGTGTCACATTTTCCTTATTCATTCATCCCTTGATGGATACTTAGGTTGCTTCTAAATCTTGGCTATTGTGAATAGTGTTGCAACAAACATGGGAGTGCGGATATCACTTTGTTATACTGCGGATATCACTTTGATACACTTATATATCCCTTTTGGATATATACCCAATAGTGAGATTGCTGGATTTTATGGTAACTTTATTTTTAGTTTTTTTGATGAACCTCCAAACTTTTCTTCATAGTAGTTGTACTAATTTACATTCCCACCAACAATGTACAAAGGTTTTCTTTTCTCCACATCCTTACCAGCATTTGTTATTGCCTGACTTTTGGATAAAACCCACTTAAATTGGGTGATGTCTCATTGTAGTTTTGATTTAAATTTCTCTGAGGATCAATGATGTTGAGCACTTTTTATATGCCTGTTTGCCATTTCTATTCAGAAATGTCTATTCAAATCTTTTGCCCATTTTTAATTGGATTGTTAGATTTTTTTTCCTCTAGAGTTGTTTGAGCTCCTTATATATTCTGATTATGAATCTCTTGTCAGATGGATAGTTTCCAAATAGTTTCTCCCTTTCTCTGGGCTGTCTCCTCACTTAGTTGATAATATATTTTGCTGTGCAGAAGCTTTTTAACTTGATGTGATTCCATTTGTCCATTTTGCTTTGGTTGCCTGTGCTTCTGGGATATGACTGAAGAAGTTTTTGCCCAGAACAATGTCTTAGAGAGTTTCTCCAAAGTTTTCTTGTAGTACTTTCATAGTCTTAGATTTAAGTCTTTTCATTGATTTTGATTTGATATTTTTGTAAGGTGAGAGACAGAGATCAAGTTTCATTCTTCTGACTACGAATATCCAGTTTTTCCAGCATCATCCATTGAAGAAACTGACTTTTCTCTAGTGTATGTTCTTGGTACCTTTGTCAAAAATGAATTCACTGCAGGTGTATGGATTTGTTTCTGAGTTGTCTGTGCTGTTCCATTGATCTGTGTGTCTTTTTATGCTGGTACCATGCTGTTTTGGTTATTATAGCTTCATAGTATAATTTGAAGTCAAGTAATATGATTCCTGTAGTGTTGTTCCTTGTGATCAGGATGGGTTTGGCTATTATGAGTCACTTGTGATTCCATATACCTTTTAGAATTATTTTTTTTTCCATTTGTGTGAAAAATGTCATTGGTATTTTGCATTGAATCTGTAAATTCCTTTGGGTAGCATGGACATTTTAACAATATTGGCTCTTGTGATTGATGAGCATGGAATATCTTGAATTTTTGTGTCCTCTTTGTTTCATCTGTGCTTCATGGTATTAATTATAAAGATCCTTCACTTCTTTGGATAAGTTAATTCCTAGGTATTTCATTTTATTTGTAGCCCTTGTAAATGGGATTACTTTTTTATTTCTTTTTCAAGTTGTTCACTGTTCGCATATAGAAATACTTCTGATTTTTTTGGCTTAATTTTGTATCCTGCAACTATACTGAATTTATTTATCAGTTCTAATTGTTATTCGGTGGCGTCTTTTGGTTTTTCCAACAGTAAGATCGTTATCAACTGCAAAGATAAATAATTTCACTTCTTCCTTTAAATTTGGATGCCTTGCTGTGAGCAGTGGCTCAGGCCTGTAATCCCAGCATTTTGAGAGGCCAAGGTGAGCAGATAACTTGAGGTCAAGGGTTCAAGACCAGCCTGACCAACAGGGTGAAACCCCTTCTCTACTAAAAACACAAAAATTAGCTGGGTGTGGTGGTGCATGCCTGTAATTCCAGCTACTTGGGAGGCTGAGGCACAAGAATCTCTCGAACCTGGGAGATGGAGGTTGCAGTGAGCCAGGCTCTTGCCACTGCACTCTAGCCTGGGTGACAGAGTGAGCTCTGTCTAAATAAATAAACAGACAATTAAAAGTAAAAATAAATTTGGATGTCCTTTATTTCCTTCTCTTTTCTGATTGCTCTAGCTAGCACTTCTCATGCTATGTTGAATAATAGTGGTGAAAGTGGGTATCCTTGTCATGTTCCAAATATAAGAAGTAAGGCTTTCAGTTTTTCCCCATTAACTATAATATTAGACTTAGGTCTGTCATTTATTGCTATTATTATGTTGAGATACGTTCCTTCTATACCTAGTTTTTGAGGGTTTTTATCAGGAAGAGGTGTTTAATTTTATCAAATGCTTTTTAGCATCAATTGAGATAACCATATGGTTTTTGTCCTTCATTCTGTCGATATGACATATCACATTGATTTGTGTATGTGGAGTCATCTTTGCATCCTTGTGATAAATCCCACTTGGTTATGATGAATGCTCTATTTAATATATTGTCTAATTCAGTTTGTAGTATTTTATTTAAGATTTTTGCATCAATATTCAGGAGAGATATTGGCCTGTAGTTTCCTTTTTTTGATACGTTTGTCTGGCATCTTCTTTTGGTATCAGGGTAATACTGGCCACGTTGAATGAGTTTGGCAACAGTCCCTCTTCCTCTATTTTTTGAAAAGTTTGAGTAGAATTGGTACTAGCTCTTCTTTAAATGTCTGGTAGAATTCAGCAGTGAAGCCAGCAGGTTTCAGGCTTTTCTTTCCTGGGAGACTTTTTCTTTAGAGCTTCGATCTTGTTACTTGTTATTGGTCTGTTCAGGTTTGGGATTTCTTCATGATTCCATGTTGGTAGGTTGTATGTGTCTAGGAATTTATCTATTTCTTCTAGGTTTTCCAATTTAAAGGCATGTAGTTGCTCACAGTAACCACTGATGATTCTTTGAATTTGTGGTATCCATTGTAATGTCTCCTTTTTCATCTCTGATTTTATTTATTTTTGTCTTTCCTTTTCTTAGTCGGGCTACAGATTAGTAAATTTTGATTATATTTTCAAAGAAACCAACTTTTCGTTTCATTGATCTTCTATGTTGTTTTCCTCATTTCAAGTTCATTTAATTGTTCTGATCTTTATTAATTTCTTTTCTTCTATAATAAGTTTGTATTGAGTTTGTTCTTGCTTTTCTAGTTCTCTAAGATGCATCACTGAGTTATTTATTTGAAGGGTTTTTGTTTGTTTGTTTTTATGTAGGCATTTACAGTTATCAGTCTCCCCCTTAGTACTGCTTTTGCTGTATTCCAAAGATTTTGGTATATTGTGTTTCCATTTTCAGTTGTTTTGAGAAATTTTTAAATTTTCTTCTTAATTTCTTTATTGACCCACTGACTCACTGATCATTTAGGAACATATTGTTTAGTTTCCATGTGTTTTTATAGCTTCCACAATTCCTCTGGTTATTGATTTGTAGTTTTATTTCATTATGGTCAGAGAAGATTCTTGATAGTACTATTATTATTATTAAGATGGAGTCTCACTCTGTCACCCAGGCTGGAGTGCAGTTGCATGATCTTGGCTTACTGCAACCTCTGCTTTCCAGGTTCAAGTGATTTTCCAGCCTCCGTCTCCCAAGTAGCTGGGATTACATATGTGCACCACCACGCCTGGCTGATTTTTGTATTTTTAGTAGAGACGGGGTTTTACCATGTTGGCCAGGCTGGTCTTGAACTCCTGACCTCAAGTGATCTGCCTGCCTCGGCCTCCCAAAGTGCTGTGATTACAGGTGTGAGCCACCATGCCCAGCTAGATTCTTGATATTGTTTCAATTTTTTGAATGTTTTAAGACTAGTTTTGTGACTTATTATATGGTCTGTCATTGAGAATGATCCATGTGCAGGGGAGAAAAAAATGTGCATTCTGTAGCTGTTTGATGAAATGTTCTGTAAATATTAGTTCCATTTGTTCTACTATGCAGATTAAATCTGAAGTTTCTTTGTTGATTTTCTGTGTGGAATATCTGTCCAATCCTGAAAGCGGGGTGAAGTCTCTAACTATTATTGTATTAGGGTATATCACTCTCTTCAGCTCTAGTAATACTTGTTTTACATGTCTTGGTGTGCCAGTGTTGGGTGCATATATGTTTACAAATGTTAAATCTTCTTGTGGAATTGACCCCTTTATCATTGTATAATGACCATTATTGTGTTTTATACTTTTCGTCTTTAAATCTGTTTTGTCTAATGTCACTATACATACTCCTGCTCTTTTTTGGTTTATATTGGCATGGAATATCTTTTTCCATCTTTTTTTTTAGTGTGTGTTTATCTTTATAGGTGAAATGTGTTTCTTGTAGGCAACAGGTCATTGGGTCTTCTTTTGTTTAATCAGTTCAGCCACTCTGTCTTTTGATTGGAGAGTTTATTTTATTTACATTCAATATTATTATTGATAAGTAGGTACCTACTCCTGCCATTTTGTTATTTATTTTCAATTATTTTGCGGTCTTTTTTTCTGCCTTACTGTCTTCCTTTTCTCTGGTGGTATTCTTTAACTTCTTGCTTTTTAGTTTTTGTGTATCCATTGTATGATTTTTGCTTTGAGATTACCATGAGGCTTGCAACTATTATCTTAAAACTGATATTATTTTTTTGAGACAAAGTCTCGCTCTGTCACCCAGGCTGGAGTGCAGTGGCACGATTTTGACTCATTACAACCTCCACCTCCTGGGTTCAAGTGATTATTTTGCCTCAGCCCCGCAAGTAGCTGGGATTACAGACATGCACTACCATGCCCATCCAATTTTTGTATTTTTAGTAGAGACAGGGTTTTGTCACGTTGGCCAGGCTGATCTCAAACTCCTGACCTCAGGTGATCTGCCTGCCTCGGCCTCCCAAAGCACTAGCCAGGATTACAGTCTTGAGCCACAGCAACCAACCTGATTTTTTAAATGGATAACAATAACACTGATTGCATAAACAAACATGCAAAAAAAAAAACTAATAAAAACTCTACACTTTAACTTCATCCCCCCATTATTTTAACTTTTTATTGTTTTTCTTTATGTCTTATTTTGCTGTGTCTTGCAAAAATGTTGGAGTTATTATTTTTGATTGGTTCATAATTTATTCTTTCTATTTAGAGTAAGAGTAGTTCACACACCACCATTACAGTGTTATACTCGTCTGTGTTTTTCTCTGTACTTACTATTAATATTCCCCATGAGTTTTGTATCTTCAAGTGATTTCTCCTTGCTCATTATCATCCTTTTCTTTTAGATTGGAGATTTCCCTTTAGTATTTCTTATAGGACATGAAATCCCTCAGGTTTTGGTTGTGTGGGAAGGGCTTTATTTCTCCTTCATGCTTACAGAATATTTTCACAAGATATACTATTCTAGAATAAAAATTTTATTTCCTTCAACAGTGTAAATATGTCATTCCACTCTCTCTTGTCCTGTAAGGTTTCTACTGAAAAGTTTGATGCAAGATGTATTGGAGCTTCAATGTATGTTATTTGTTTCTTTTCTCTTGCTGCTTTTAGGATCCTTTCTTTATCCTTAACCTTTTGGAGTTTGATTATTAAATGCCTTGAGGTGATCTCCTTCAGGTTAAATCTGCTTGGTATTCTGTAACTTTCTTGTACTTGAGTGTTAATATCTTTCTCTAGGTTTGGAAAGTTTTCTAATATTATCCATTTGAATATACTTTCTACCCCTGTTTCTTTTTCTACCTCCTCTTTAAGGCCAGTAACTCTTTTTTGTTGTTGTTTTTGAGATGGAGTCTTGCTCTGTTGCCCAGGCTGGAGTGCAGTGACGTGATGTCAGCTCACTGCAACCTCTGCCTCCTGGGTTCAAGTAATTTTCCTGCCTCAGCCTCCTGAGTAGCTGGGACTAGAGGCATGCACCACCACACGCAGCTAATTTTTTTTTTGTATTTTTAGTAAAGATGGGGTTTCACCATGTTGGCTAGAGTGGTCTCAAACTCCTGACCTCGTGATCTGCCAACCTTGGCCTCCCAAAGTGCTGGGATTACAGGCGTGAGCCACTGCACCCGGCAAGGCCAGTAACTCTTATATGTGCCCTTTTTAGGCTATTTCCTAGATCTTGTAGGCATGCTTCATAGTTTTTTATTCTTTTTTCTTTTGTCTCCTCTGACTGTGTATTTTTAAATAACCTGTCTTCAAGCTCACTAATTCTTTGTCTGCTTGATCACGTGTGCTATTAAGAGAATCTGATGCATTATTCAGCATGTCAGTTGCATCTTTCCACTCTAGAATTGTTGGATTTATCTGATAAAATTCTGAATTCCTTCTCTGTGTTATCTTGAATTTCTTTGATTTTCCTCAAAACAGCTTTTTTGAATTATCTCTCTGAAACATCATATATCTCTCTTTCTCCAGGATTGGTCCCTGGTGCCTCATTTAGTTCATATGATGATGTCACATTTTCCTGGATGGTATTGATATTTGTAAGTGTTCATCGGTGTCTGGGCATTAAAGAGAGTTAGATATTTATTGTAGTTTTCAGTGTCTGGGCTTGTTTTTCCCTATCCTTATAGGGAAGACTTTCTAGGAATTTGAAGGGACCTGGGCTCCAAGTCTAATAATGCTGTGGTTCTTGCAGACTCATAGAGGTACCTCTTTGGTAGTCTTGGATAATATCTGGAAGAATTCTTGGAATCACCAGGCAGAGAGTATGCTCTTTTCTCTTGCTTTCTCTCAAACAAATGAAGTCTCTTTTCCTGTGCTGAGCTGTCTGCAACTGGGGGTGTGGTGATGCAAGCACCTCTGTGGCCACTACCACTGGGACTTTGCTAGGTCATTCCTGAAGCCAGCACAGTTCTGGCCCTTGCCCATGGCCTTCTCTTCAGGGTGGCAAGTTCCTATAAGCCCAGTGATGCTTTCTTAGAGCCAGGGATTATTCTATTCTACTGCGGCTAAGCTTGCCCTCAAACCACAATACAAAGTCCTTCCCACTGTTCTCTTCCCTTTCCACAGGCAGAGGAGCCTCTCCCTGTGGCCAGCAGTACACCAGTCCATGGGGGATTTCTTCCAGGCCACCGCTTATGTTCCCTTAAAGCCCAAGACCTCTTGCATCAGCCTGTGGTGAATGCAGCCAGGCTTGAACTCACCCTTTATGGCAATGGACTCCCTCTGGCCAAGGGCATGTCTAGAAATGCTGTCCAAGAGCCTAGGCGTGAACTCAGGAACCCCAAAAGACTGCTTGTTGCTCTACCCCACTGTGGCCAAGCTGGTATCTAGGGTGCAAAACAAAGTCCCTTTTGCAGTTCCCACTGCTTTTCTCAAGCAGAAGGAGTTTTGCCCTATAACCACCACTGCTGATAGTGCGCTGAGTTTCCCTGAAGCCATCACATCTCAGAGGCTCACTAAGACCTTCGTGTAGTACCTGGGTATCACTGCTGATTATTCAGAGCCCAAGGGCTCTTCAGTTAACAGGTGATAAATGCTGACAGGACTGCATCCTTTCCTTCAAGGCAGAAGGTTCCCTTTTGACCCAGGATGTGTCTAGAAATACCATGTCGGAGCTAAGGCTTGGAATGAGACCTTCTTGAATGTGCCCAGTGCCCTGTCCTACTGTGGCTGAGCTGGTATCTATGATGCAATACAAAGTCTTCTTTATTCTTCATTCTCCTCTTGTTAAACAGAAAGTAGGAGTCCCTTTCATTGTTATGAGCCACACTGCCTGGGGTAGGGGGTGGCATGGTGCAAGCACTCCCATAGCCTCACCAGCTAGTGTCTCCTTAGGACACATGCCACTCTGTTCACTGGCTCTAGGTCGAGCCTAGCACAAGGAGTTCCCTAGGAATTGCAGACCTTGTTTCCTAGACTGCTTTTCAAGTATATCAAAGATCCTAGAGTACATTAGCTTGTGGTGGCAAGGCTTGATGGGAAACCCAAGTTCCAACAACTGGGATGGCAGATTCCCCTCTGACTAGGGCTGGTCCAAATGCTCCTTCTGTGCATGAGTGCTGGCTGAGTTCGGCATTTATTTATTTACTGTGACAGGGTAGCACTGAGTTCAATGTAAAGTCTCCCAGTCACTGCTCTCTGTCTTCCCAAAATGCACATATTCTTTCTCCATACCTCGTGGCCACAACCAGGGGCTGGGGGAAGGGTGGCATCAGTGATTCAAGACTGTCTCTTCTGCCCTCCTCAATGCTTCTTTCCAGGTTATGAAGTTAAAGCCGTGTACTATGATTGCTTACCTGATTTTTAGTTCTTGTGATGGTGCTTTTCTGTGTGTAGATAAAATTTGGTGTTGCAGCGGGGGAAATGGTAAGTATAGGCTTCTATTCCATCATCTTGCTCTGCCTTCTCTTTACAACTGTGGCAATATTCGTTGCAGAAGAGTGTGTATTGTCCTTTTACTTTAAGCCTACGCTGAAAATGAGAGAGACAATTCTCATTCCATATCTAATACAATGAGTGGAAACTGGAAAGCTAACTGGTAAAAGGAGTGAGAATAAGATAAGATATCTTACCATGTTTCATCCACCTTACCTAATTTATAGTCTCTAAATATCTGCAGAGCATTTATACAGGAACCTGGAGGCAATGGAAGAGCAATATACTTGTATGTATGAATATATGCAGGATAGATTTTCAGATGAATAGGTAACTGATGGTCATTGTTGAATGGGTCAGTTCTTTAGGGGTAGTAGGAGTCTAAATGAGGCAAGTAGCACCTTTAATGATGAGACAGTTAATCCGGATATTTCAACAAGGATGGGGGTGGTTTGTTTTGTACAGAAAAATAGTTAAATGACTAGAATACTGGGAGGCCGTACCCATTTTGGAATTGTAACAGGAGAATCTGATTTAGACTCATCCAGGTAGGATAAAAGCTGGCTATAAACATGTGTAGGACAATGTCAAGGTGCTGTTTGCAAGTGTTTCATGTGTGCATGATAGAATACAATTTGATGCTCACCAAGTTCATTTATTTTCTTTTCTTATGATGCATCATTTACACGTGGTCATTCAAAGATGCTTTGTTTCCATTAGATATGTTTATAAAAGCATGATTTTATAATAATCTGAATTAGAATGACCTGGGGAGCATGTTAAAAGTAAAATGTTCCTTTAGGTGGCTCTTGGATCCACAATAAGAAATATCTATCTCTTTAATTCCTTTTTGCCAATATGCTACTTTGTACATAATACTTCTGTAATGAAAGACATTTTTAGACCAAACTGTCATTGGGCATTGGAAAAGTACAAAAACGATGGCAGTTTTTCTATATTCTGATAAAGTGAAGTTAAAGTGAGACCAGATTAAAAGATACGATTCAGTTTCATATAGAAAATAAGGCTTGTGGTAGTAAAGTTAGACATTTTCAGAAAATGCAAATGAATTTATTTATGTCTGAAAATGAAGAGGAAAAACAAACCTCCATGTTTCCTATTTTACACATTCATCTAGTTTTAAAAGCTATAAATATACTAGTGCATCTTTAATCATACAATTTTTTTCTTAGTGTGCTTCAATACTCATTTTTATGTTATGTGAAAAAAAAATTTGTTCTATTCATTCACCTATTGACCACTCAATTTAGCTTATAGGAAAATATAGATATTTGTGTGAAACTATAGTTATAGAGACAGAAATCAGAGATGGAAACAATGCAACAGATCATTTCATTTTTTAACAGTCAATATTTTTTCACATAATACACTTAGAGAATTTTTCTTACCCAATATTTAATTTCATGAGTAATGAATCATTTATTAATTTGTAAAGTGTTAATTCCAGCTGAAATTGTCATTTTATTTTCTCTATTTAGATAAATTACTTTTCTTTTTTTTTGTTTTCCTTTCTTAATATTATTCCATCGCTCAAAATTCTATCTATCCTGGGGTTAAATGCAATGTGTGTGCTATATCACATACAGAGAATTTACCGACAATAGCAGCCTTTCCAAGCCCTGTCTCTGTAACTAACCACTCCATGGGTATAGAGCTCACAGGTAAAAATTGATATAAGGAATGAAGCAAAACAAAGTTGCACAATATTTGCATGGGGATACTTTTATTCTTAGTGGTAATTACACAGAGGGATTGTGTTCTCCTTCTTGCAATACTGGATTCTAGATTCAAAAATACTTGAAATGCTTTTTCTGGTTTCTACCTGCATCTCACGAGGCCTCTATTGGAATTCTATAATAACCAGCCATGGTATTTCCGTAGGTCAGTGGGTCTCTGAAACTTTTAGTGTTCAGGAAACTCATCTGAGGCTCTTGAAAGCATGTTGATTTCAAGGTTCCACAGCTAGAAACAGCAATTTGGCAGGTCAGAAGTAAAGTTCAGGAAACTACGTTGTTAACAGGTACCTCAGCACCTTTGAATGCAGGTGGCTTTTGAACTTAGCTTTGAGAAACACTGATTTCAGCTATGCCTACCCTGAGCAAATACCTAGTATGGGATTTTTATTTGAATGAACAAATCATATTCACCTTTGTGGCATACAGTGTGTTGAATTGAAACAAAGAAGCAAAATGAGCTTTCATAAAGTGACTCAGACTAGGTATTATTTTAATGACTTTTTACAAATTATGTGAGCAATCTTCAGTTTGTTCAAGGGTATTTTAGTTTTCTTGGACTTAAATAAAGTTTCTATTTCAGAATCATTCTGCTTCTTTAAAAGAAAAACTATCCAGATCCACAAAATTTACTCGTAAGAACTGAACAAGTTTCAATCACCTTTTTAATCTGATTAAATCCTCACAAAAATTCAGTGTGAATAACTATCACCTTTTCATTTTACACATGGGGAAATTGAGCTCTATTATGATCAATTTCCCCAAGACATGCATTTAGTAAGCACAAATCCTGCCTCAAATATGTTTACTTCAGACCATAACTTGTTTTCTTTCCACTGTACTAGGCAGTAGTGTACAAAAACATCAAGCATAATACCTAGAGGCTGTGGAAAGGTACTTCTTGTTGGTATGCCATGCCTTAATAAGGAAATGAAGGTATAGTAAGACTTTGGTAAAATTAATTGCATTGGAAGAGATGCCTGAACTCTCCTTGTGATTGCAATTATTTATCTGAGTGGGCATGGGAGAGACAGAGAAATTGGTAGTAAAAGATAAAGAGAAAAAATTCCGTGTAAGGAAATATGTTAGCCGCTAGCCCAAACATTCTTTCAATGACAGCAGGTTTATGGTCTCTAAAAAAGGTCTTGCATCATTTTACTTGAATTCTTTTTATAACATTTTGCATGTCTCTGAGAGAAAACCAATGAGAGACCACAGCAATTTTTTGTAATTGTTATGATCAAGTGAAGATGTGCCAAACTTCCTAGTGCAATGTAGTGAGAGGCCAATGTTTATCACCCAGAAAGGGAAGCAAAAGACTCAGCTATAGTTTGTTCAGAAATCCTTCCAGTAAGGTCTGTGATCGATTAAATAGTTTCTCTGTTGGGTTTTACTGAGATCAAACTTTGATGCTCACAATGTAGAATAGACGTGTTAAATGGGTTGGGACAGGATAAGAATCATAAAGGCATGATTACACCAAAAGGGACAAATAACCAAAATTCCATAGCTTTTGTGGGACTGAGGGTACCCTCATCAAATATGTAAAATCTTTAAGTTATGTTATTTCAGTAAATCCAAATTAAGTCATTTATTTTTAATGGCATTTGGCTTTTTTGTTTCCTGACAGTTAATACAATATTCTGAGTTGAATACATAAATACAATAAAATTGACTTCTGCCCAGCTGGGTTTATTCAAAATTTCTAGATTCTCAATTTTTATTTTCTGGCACCAAAAATACATAAAAAATCTTTGTGTATTCAAATGATCTCTTAAACACTAATTTAGACCTAGCATGCTGGAAGTATGTGTTAAAATCATTTGTGAAGAATGTACTTATTTGATAAACAAAGCCTTCTTCACTTGAAATATTGGAAATAATTTCTGAGTTCCAAAACACTGACATTCAATGAACATTGCCTTTCATTACTTTTGTTAATACATCTTTTTATACACATCATTTGTACAACAAAACTGTATAGCATCTATCATGGGCCAAGCATTGTGCTAGGTGCCAGGGAATAATGGTGAGCAAGACAAAAATGGTATTGGCCTTCACAGAGTTTATACTAACTTTGAGGACAAAGAGGTAAGCCAGCCCCACAACCACAGTAAACTTTGAAGGTAACCTGATTTTTTTTTCATAGCCTTCACATGATACCCGGAAAGTAGTAGGCAATCAGTGTATACCTGTTGCATGAATAGAGGAAAACACAGTATAGCTGAAGGAACACCCGAGCAGACGTAAGGAAATATTAATCCTAGCTTTAACTCTATTGTTGAATGACCATGTAGTATATGCAAAATTGTTTCCACTTCATGAACTTCAGTTTGCTTTAATGTAGAATTAGAGTAGTCAACATTATGAAATTTATTTCATGCTACTTCCAACAATATATAACCATATAATACTGAAAATATCATTTTAAATATTTGAATAAAGGCATTTATAATTGCTTGTACAGCAGGCCTCATTCCTGTTATCTGCTTATATTAAATGTTTCAAAAAAGAAGGAAGGAAGGGAGGAAGGAAGGAAGGAAGGAAGGAAGGAAGGAAGGAAGGAAGGAAGCACAGACATCAATTGCAAACAAACTCATCACAAATCTCACTTCAATTATATAGTGTATAAACTTCTAAAAGTAAGAAACATATAGGAGTATTCCTAGACTAGTTTCTTGAGGGAACTTAAACTAAAGCTCAGATCTAAATATTTCCAGTTTGGCAAATTCAGAAATACCTTTATTTCCATTAGTATTTTTGACCTCCCAAAACTTAAATGAATATTTCACAAATCTTTCATTATAGTAATGAAAAAGGTTAAGTTGTTATTTGTGATCAGATTTAGACTGTCATATTTTGAGTGTCTCGGTAGGGAAAATAAGTGCTTCATAAAGAATATTACTGTTATTATTAGCCCTATGCTTGTTCCTGGAAACAAAATGGAGTAGTGTTTCCCTGTGGACTCAATAGACTATTAAAACTATTGTGGCCGTCTTCTGCATACCTGTTATCACCAGTTATAAAAAAAAATTGTCTCTTTATTGAAAGTTGAACTTCAGGGCTTTTTTTTTTCTTTTAAGATGAAGATACTGGAAGACTTGGCATCTTTACAATATTTCAGTTTAAACATTCCAAAGGAACTGCTCATGTTGCAAAATATTTATAAAATGTTTTATCTAATGTAATTAAATCCCAATAGTACAGAAAGCTTAAATCTTTCTTCATTTTTCTTCTTCATTTTTTACTTTTACAGAGAATATATGCATTTTAGGCAACTTTTGCTCTACTTTTTGAAACTCAACATTAGATGTGTGTATACAAGTTTTGTTCATTTAGGTAAGTTTTCTTGAAACACGCTTATGATATTTGCAGGGATAACATCTTCAAGTCATTTTAAGAGTGCTAATCAGTGATTCTTAGGATTTTTGGCAGAATGAGGGTAGTTATAAAAAGGAGCAGCAACACTGTTTGTATAGCATGGTACCACTCTCTCGATTAACAGTACTTTACATTAAAATTTTGCTCAGCTGAGCAGCTGACTATGCTAATTCTTCAGAGTTGTGTTAAGCCTTACTCATTTTTTTTCTAAGCCTACTTGCCAGGAATAGCATGAGAAAATGAACATTTTCAAGGTCAGTGAAAATAGGATCACATGGCTGCTTCGTTGATATTGTCACTCAGTGTATTTTTGCATGTTTATTTCTCTGGAGGTCTTGATCTGATTGTAGGTGTTTCATGATTTGCTATGCACACACATACTCTCTCACACATGCCTATATAGAATTGTCATGAATATCCATTTATCATAATACTTGTTTATTGTTCAATTCCCTAAGTTATAAGAGCCCAAGGAATCTGCTTCTCTCCCCAGAAAATTAATAACAGCAAAAATTATCAACTTATGATTTGAAGACATCTGTATCTGCTTCCTGTTGCAAATGACAAATGTAGTCATTTGTAATAAATGGCTACAAACTTAGTGGTTTAAAACAACACAAATTTACAGTTCTGGAGGTTGGAGATCTATAGTGGGCCTCACTGGGATAAAATCAGTGTCAGCAGGCCTGCATGGTGCATTGTACACAGTGGGTGCTTCACAGATAGAGTTGATTTTCACTATTTGAGGATTCTGTATTTGCAAATGCCGCTACTCTCTAAAATTTACTTGTAACCTCACAATCAATATTCATGAAGCTTTTCAGTCATTCACAGACATGGACAGAGCAGCAACAAATGTGATGTGCCTCATGCTCGGGTTTCCAGCTGAGCTCCAGCAAGGCCCTGCTCTGCCCTGTTCCAGCTCTAATACAGAAATGACCAGAAGATAGAGATGGCAGGAAACAGTGCAATGTAGTGCAAGAAGCTCTGACTGAGACCCCCTTGAATGGGATTTAAATCCCACCTCTGATATCTGTTAGTGGGTGTCCTCAGGCAAGTCACTTAAAACTTATGAAGGCCATTTTCTCTTTTCTAAAGTAAAAAAAAAATAGATTCTACCAGGAAAAGTTTTTTTAGGCTTTAATTTGATAATCTATGTGAGATATGTGTACATATGTACATGTTTCCCCTAGGAGCAATGTTTTAGTAAATTAGCTAATTCATAGTTCACAGCTACTTCATAGAACATGACTACTTCGAATAACAATAGCCAACTGTATCTGTTGAATAAAGGAATGAATCACTGACCCAGAAATATTATTATTTATGGTATGACCTTGTTACATGAATTGATGGTAACGGTTGCTCAGCGATTTCCCAAAGGATGTTGTGGTAGGCAGAATAATGCCCTTCCCCAAGGATGTCCACATCATCTGTGGAAACCATGAATGTGTTAGATTACAAAGTGAAGGAGGATTATAGTTGCAGATATAATTAAGGTTGCTAGTCAGTTGACCTTAAAGTAAGGAGATTATTTTCATTATCTTGATGGGCCAATATAATCTCAAGAACTCTTCAAAGTAGAAGAGGAAGGCAGAGGAAGGTGAACAACGACTTGGCCCAGCATGCTGGCTCTGAGGATATAACAGGACCAAGATTCCAAGAGTGTAGCTGACCTGTAGAAGCTAGAAAAGGGAGGGAAATAGATTATCTCCCAGAATCTCCAGAAAGGAATGCACCCTGCTGACACTTTCATCTTATCCCAGTGAGACTTACAGATTTCTGACTTTTGGATCTGTAACCTAGGAAATTTGTGTTAAGTGACAAAGTTTGTAGTAATTTGTTACAGTAGCAATAGGAAACAAATACAGATGTCTCCAAATCATAAGTTGATAATTGTTGCTGTTGTTGATGTTGTATTACTCGGAATGTATAAAAATTAACCCGGTACTAAAAAAGAGTCAAATGAGAACAATACCTTAGCTAAAAAGATTTGCCCTTCAATATCATTTGAGATCATGGGGTAAAAAAGACTGGAAATGACAGCACAAATTGGGAATTTTACCAGGAGCAACTGCTGGATATAGAAGAGGATTTAACTTGATCCTGTAGGAGAGGCAAAATTTTGCCCCTACCTTCTTAGGGATTTTTGGCTTCGGGACTGAGAATTATACCCATGTAAGACAGATAAACAGAAGAAAATGATACAAGTTTTTTCAATACAAGTTTTATGTGGCACAGGAGCCATCATAAAGAAATGAAGACCCAAAGACCCTGAGTTATTTATATGCTGAATTGGACAAAGTGTAATAAATTGTGAAAATATGACAAGGCAAAGCGGCTTTGGCTAGGTTAGTTATTTGGGTGGAGAAGTAACTGGATAGATAAAGTTAATTTAACCAGGTTTGTTTGTACAGATTTTTCTCAGTCTCAGTTTCCTGTTCTTGGTGATAAAAATGTCCTTCCAGTATAGGGAAGACATCTTTCACATGGAAATTTCATATCTTCCTTTTAAGAAACAGAATGAAAGTCAGACCGATCATGCACCTATTATTTTTCAAGTTTCTTTAGTTCAAAATAATTCTTAGCACAAAGTGGCATACTTTGGAGCAGTGTGTTTTGAATTCATTCAATACTAATAAAATCCACACCACATATTTCAAGCTCCAGAGAGAGTTGGATCTACCAATGTATCACATGGGTCACATGATTTTGTAAAATTGCAAAAATGATATTAGTAAAATAATAATAGTAAGATACTAAAGAGTCCCCCTCATATTAAATAATTTTCAGGGCACAGAAAACCTAGCTCTGCCCCTGCTTGAATACCTTTCAGGAAACTTGAGAGAGATCTGACTCCAAAATGAAAACATGTGTCTCATGCACAGCTGTACATGTTTCCCTCCCCAGAACACATTTTCCATTGAGGGGAATTCATATGACAAGGACATATGAGGAGTGAGATAGGGATAGGAAGTAGTAGCAATTACATAATTCATCTCCTGTTGATCAATTAAGCACTTACTATGTGGCTAATCATTGTAGGCTACAATGAGATCTATGACTCATTCCAATTTCACTAATAACTTGAAGCTTAATTGGGAAGATGAAATGCACATGGACACATCATCATTAGTATTATGTAATATACAATTAGGCACTAATAAATAAGGTACTGGAAACTAGAGAATAGCACAATAAAATACAACTTTGGCTGAGCCAATAACACACACACACACACACACACACACATACAAACATACACATATATGCACACATAACTCAATATTGGTTTCATAGCAGAAGTGAGAACTTGATTTGATCTCAAGGCATGATGATTATATGATGGTTATTTAATTTGCAGCAGTGGCTAGAATAATAGCAAAATAGACCAAAAATATGTTGTTTTATAAATACTGAATGGAATGGCTTTATTACAGAAAATTAAAGTACCCAATGGGCTGAGTACCTTACATCATTTATTTCAATTTATCTTTACAACAATACTCTGGGGTAGGTACAGTTTATTATCTTTGTTTCACTAATGGGGAAACTGAGACTTAGAATAGTTTAACAATTTTTTCAGTGATGTCACAAATCCATTATGTGGCAAAGCCAAGACTGAAACCCAGGCCTACCTGACACCACAGTCTAACTCTTATGCACTTAAGGAGTTGGGATGTAGAGAGAAATAAAATTGAATAGGTTTTAAACACTAAATAAAGGTTTTAGTTTACAGATAAGAATACTTCTATATGAAGCATAAATTTGCATATATGCTCACCTAGACTTTGAGATCTTATAATTTCTTCAACAGATTAAACCATCACTTTCCAGAAGGCTACCATATTTCTTTGACATAACTAGTAAATTGCTGAAGTACACATTGACATCTGAAATCATTTGTCTGAATGTCACCGAAATGAAGTGAATAGTGTGATAGGTTTTGCTCTTGTTGTCACAAGGATAATACGGAGTATTTAAAAATGTGTGATAAGATGGGATAGTTGTATTAAATTAAAAACCTTTTAAATCATACTAATAGGATGACCAATGTGCTTTATTAAGAAGCAAAGAAGTATCAGAGATGCTTAAGGCAAATGGGCAGATGACTTGAATTGGAGTCATTTGACTGCATGTGAAAGCTAGTACATGACTAAGAGCCTACAAAAATATGTATTCTTATTTAAAACTTAAATATGAAATGCTTTGGAACAGTATAGCAAATTTCATTAAGTTTGTTAATAATTACAGAAGCATTAACATGATGGCATGTACTATCAATTTCAGGTTGAAAATAGCTGGAAAAAACATATTTTCACAACAAGTGGCTTCTCTTGGCTTTCCAACTGTTGCTTCATTCACCTTAAAAAAATAAGTATTAATTCTACAAATATTTAAATTTAAGTAACACAATTATTGCAGGATTGATAGAAGATGCAGTAGAATTTTATAATATATTCAAAATATGTAACTGTGAGTCTGTAAACTTTGATGTGTGATGAATTTGAGCCTGCCATGTTTATTCTGTCAAAACCACAGCAGTGCTTAGATGACAGACCCCTAGTTATGGTTGACAGCCTAGATCCTATTAACACTGTGAATCATCACAGTTAACCCTGTAATATTGTAAGATTAGAAATGAGTATCTTGTCAGAAATAATACATTTATCTAGGAAATATATGGTTGGATGGAACTGTGTCAGAGCAAGCAAGAGTCACCAGAAATTTATGTAAGGCACACAATACTTTAGCTTACTATTTTATTTATTTTTGAATTTTACTAAGGGCTGACACTGTGTCACATGAAAATCCTACAGTAATGGTATCTTGGCTCACCCTACTGGTTAAGAGAAGAGCATTTCCACCTTGAATGCTGCACCTAAAACTTAAGATGTGTGCTTCCTTAAAAACAATACAACATAAACCCAAGAAATAAATTGGAGTGAACTACAAAATTACAACTTTAAGGAATTTATGACTTTGAGAACTTTCTCTGCATTTTTTAGACTACAGAAAAAATTATAGCACTTTATTTTAAATATGAGGGGAATTTTCAAATAGTCATGTAAACTGCAAAGTAAAAAACTACATATTTTAAATATACAGTTTCTTTACACAGCACTGTTTCTTAAAGCTGCATTAACAAAGTTCAAAAGACCTCTAAAAATGTGTTTTACCATCATTTTGGGTTGTGTTAAACATGATATCAAACTCAAGTTGTCCTTCTCAAGACCCAAATTAAATTTTGTTTTACTTAATGAATAATTTTAAAATCTGGATATATGATAACTATAACTCTATAAAAAGCATCTTAGAGCCAGGCACGGTGGCTCTCGTCTGTAATCCCAGCACTTTGGGAGGCTGAGGCGGGGGATCATGAGGTCAGGAGTTCGAGACCAGCCTGACCAACATGGTAAAATCCGTCTCTACTAAAAATACAAAAATTAGCCGGGTGTGGTGGTGCATGCCTGTAATCCCAGCTACTCTGGAGGCTGAGGCAAGAGAACTGCTTGAACCTGGGAGGCAGAGGTTGCAGCAGTGAGCCGAGATTGCACCACTGCACTTCAGCCTGGGCAACAGAGCAAGACTCCGTCAAAAACAACAACAACAACAACATTTGATCAAGAAGCTACCAACTGAATAGCTTACTTTATTTATGCACGTTACTAGACCATTTTTGTTAAGCTCACCGTTTTAGTAATAGTCTAGTTTTTGAAAATTTGGAAGAGTTCGGGCCGGGTGCAGTGGCTAACGCCTGTAATCCCAGCACTTTGGGAGGCTGAAGAGAATGAATCAACTGAGGTTGGGAGTTTAAGACCAGCCTGACCAACATGGAGAAACCCGGTCTCTACTAAAAATACAAAATTAGCTGGGTGTGCTGGCGCATGCCTGTAATCCCTGCTACTAGGGAGACTGAGGCAGGAGAATCGCTTGAACCAGGGAAGCAGAGGTTGCGGTGAGCCAAGATCGCACTATTGCACTCCATCCTAGCCAACAAGACTGAAACACAGTCTCAAAAAAAAAAAAAAAGAAATAGTCTAATTTTAACTAACACTTCCTAAAGATCAAAAAAGTTTACTTAAATAATTTACACATAATATTGAGAAAGATTTTATTACACTTCTACAAAAACTCTGAGAGTGCAGCTAGCATGTAGTACTTGCTCCTCTAGAGGATCACAAGCACTTGGTTGGACTACCAGTGTTAGACTACCTCTTGACCTTTAGAGGGTTGGGCTACCTCTTAATGTTAGAGAGCTTTTTAAAGAGTGATTATTATACAATGTGACATCACTGGATATAATTTTAGTTATGATTGTAAATGATCTTAGGCTACTTTCATTAATACAGTCTGAGTCAATTATTCATTTCATCACAGGCTTCTTTATTGATATAAGAGAAATATGATTTGTTACATGTAGCTCTAATTGGTTAGACTTAAAACTGTTGGAAAAAAAAATAACTTTAGACAAATTAAATTTAGTAGTTCATTTCAGCAAGTTCATGAATGAGGCGGCACTCAGAACCAGAACAGGTTCAGAGAACTCTGCATAGTAGTGTGGACAGTGAGCTCTTATAGTCTGAATACAAAAGCAGAGTAATCACCTGATTGGCTAGAGCTAGATGACTGCCTCATTTGGCATGGTCTGATCAGTTTGCTGCTTGTGATTGACTGAAGCTCAGTGTCTTGTGATTGGCTGAAACTTCGCTCTTTGTTACAAAATATACATCTAAATTGGGTTTCGGTTGGTTTATATACTAAAAGAGGTTGTAGTTTGTGGTTTGTTTGGTAGGAATTCAAAGTACGGAAACAGCCTCAATCCAATAGGCTCCTGCTTATTTAATTTAACAAAATTAACCTTTCATTGGGTCCTGACTACTCGATTTAAACCTCCCTGTTTGACTCTTCTTATGTTAGAAATTCATTCCCTAAAAGTCTTTTCTTAATTTGGTTGCAAAAAAAAAAAAAAAAAAAAGCCACCCACATGCCATGGCTGCCTGTGTTTTTTCACCCTGGAATTCTGCCATTACTGAACAGTATGTGCTCAGCTATGCTAAAGCTTTTACAACCCCCACCGTCATATTATAGAAGCAAAAAAAAAAAAAAATGTCCAAAGAAATTCTACCATCTGGCATATTGAGACTTCAAAGACTAAAGAAAAAATGTTAAGTTATGGTTAGAACATTTTTTTTCTTCCCAAATAACACCTATGCAAGAAAGAAAGGAAAACAAAAATATCACAGAGCTGGAACTTCATGGGTTTTATGCACTTACATCTATCAAAAGTAAAACACCATTGCAGACATATTCTATGCCTATGCTGTCTAGTACAGTAACTAGTAGCTATGTGTGACTTTAAAGCACCTGACACATGACTAGTCTGAATTAAGATATGCCGTAAGTATATAATACATACCAGATTTTGATCACTTACTATGAAAAAGACAATGTAAAATAGCTCATTGATAAAACATTAATATTCACATTGGTTGCATGTTGAAATTTGAATATTTTAGGCATATTGGATTAAATAAAACAGATAATTTCACCTGATCGTTTTGGCTTTTACTTTTACTGTGGCTACCAGAAATTACTTATGTAGCTTGTCTTAAATTTTTGTTGAAAACCCCTCTTTTATACCAAACTTAGTAAGGAAGATTTTGACTGAAGTTTACTTAATACCAATACATTTGACTTTCTTGTTTCTTATGGTATAACTGATTAAAAATATTGTTTAAAATAATAATAAAAATAAAATAAAAATATAATAAAGATATATCATTTCAGGAATTGCATATTAAATATTGATATGAAATTACAAACATTGTGAATAACCTGCATATTAACATTAAATATGCATGGTTATAAACAGTTAAATCCAGAACATTGACCCTTAATTAGAGACTCCACTTCTCCTCACGTCTTTGAAGTGGAATATTCTTTGGGCTGCAGAAATGGTAATAACTGCCTAATTGATAGTGTTTATGAAAAGTTTGTCTATTGAAGATAAAAAAACTATCTGTACCTCAAAGAAGTAAAATGTATAGCACAGGTTATCTAAGCAAACTGCTAAATAAAGAATAGATATAAGTTCCATAAAGTTTATGGTTTTGTGCAATAGAGGACATACACCCTTGTATTTCATATTTTATTGCACTTAAAAATACAAAACTTTTTTTGATGAGAAAGACAATGACACAGATGTCTTTATTTTACTATATTAAGCATATTTTTTGACAGTGTTCTGTGTGGGAGACACATGAGGGGAGACGAAAAGGCACACACAATACTTTTAAGGGTAAACAGCCTTTATCCCAAGTATATGGCAATACAGATATAATAAGCAAATCATATAATAAACAAATGACATAATAAGCAAATTGCAATTGGAAGGGGAAAAGAGAAAAGATATATATATATATATATATATATATACACACACACACACACATATATATATATACACACACATATATATATATATACTCACCAGACTGTGGAGGAAGCATCACCAGACTGGGAAGCAACAGCCTGAGCTCCATGGTTGGTCACCTGTTCAGCACAGATGAGGAGAGGTCTCATGAAGCTTTAGGGTGGTCTGGGTGGTCTGGGACCCTAGCTCTTTTTTATTTGTTTATTTTTTTGAGATGGAGTTTCCCTCTTGTTGTACAAGCTGGAGTGCAATGGCACGATCTCAGCTCACCACAACCTCTGCCTCCCAGTTTTAAGTGATTCTCTTGCCTCAGCCTCCTGAGTAGCTGGGATTACAGGCAGGCACCACCACGCCTGGCTAATTTTGTATTTTTTAGTAGTGGCGGGGTTTCTGCATGTTGGTCAGGCTGGTCTTGAACTCCCTATCTAAGGTGATCGTGCCTTGGCCTCCCAAAGTGCTGGGATTACAGGCGTGAGCCACCGTGCCTGGCTCCTAGTTCTTTTTGTAAGTTGTTTGGCATGAGGCCCAGTCACAAGGACCCTTCACGACTGGGCTCAAGGAACACAAAAAGGTCAACTTGTTTTTTGCTATTCTGTTGTCTTTCAATAACTAATATACAAGAACAGATTGAGAGAGCGATATCTCCGAAACAGTGCTGGATGAATGCCTCAAGGGGCTCACTCAACCTGTTTTGGGACTTGGTGACCATTGTCTGTGTCCAGTTGAGTTTAATTTTAATATTTAACTTTTCCTCCACACACAGACAGGTTTGTACGTAATTCATATCTAATCAAATCATGATAATCGTTTTCAAATGCTTAACTTTCCCTTTATCATTTAATGTTGAAATTATGACCCAGCAAGCTAAAAATGGAATTCATTTTATATCATGTCGGATATCACTTTGCCCTCCAAATATGTACTCGTAATGGCAAATAATGAGTTATGCTGAATGATTAATCTGAGTTAAAAAATGCTGATTTTACTTAGTTTGAAAATTGCTTATATATTTATATAAGATATATATTTCTTATATATATAAGATATATATATAAGAAATATATATAAGAAATATATATAAGAAATATATATAAGAAATATATATAAGAAATATATATAAGCAATTTAACTGCATATAAGGCCTTGATCACTTTCGTTATCTTAAAGTCCCAATTATTTTGAGTGTGAGACTTCCAGTTATACTACATTCTTGGAAATTAAAGTTATTACAGCTATATCCAGTAGAATTAAGTAGGGAAATATGTAATCATTATAAAAATTGCATTTAAAATGAAGAGATTATATAGATTTAATAAATTTACAGTGATAGGATCTTTAGGTTATATAACTCTGAGCAACACATTTTTGCTCTTGAATATTTTTTCAATTGCTTTAATAGCTGTAGCAGTTTATTCTCATTTTTGTTAACAAATAAAAATAAACACACCATAACAATAATTATGTCACTGTTTTAGATAAAGTATTAGATTTTTTTTTTCCTTTAAGGAATTCTCTTTTTTAATGCTTTGATCCATGTATCCATGTCCTGGGAAATCATTAGGAACTCATCTATATGTCTGTTCATTTAGTTGGTCCTTGAATTATCTGATAATTCTCATTTTCAATAAGTAGGAAATGGGTTGTAAGAAGAGAAATTACTTTTGCTTATTACAATTCATCAAAATTATGCTCCAAAGCTCAAAAACACTTCTGATTTATCAGCAAGTTTTGATTGGAGGAGCCAACACACATCTGGGAAATACAGATTCAAATAAGAACGCCCAAATAGGGATCTCCCTACTGTAAAGTACGTTTCTTTCTGTGGAATGAATACAAAATCCCCCAATAACCTTTTAGGTCATTTTATTTCTCCAAGAATTGGTTTTTCTTTCCTTCTACTGCCTTAGAAAAATTTATTGTTTGGCATATCCACTGGTTTTGGAGACTATTGTAGTGTCCTACAAAATACTACCATCTTAAAGGTAAAACATTCATATATTATTTCTTAATATTTCACGTTGTTATACTCAGGTAGCAGAAAAGAAGAAATTACCAAAACAAAACAAAACAAAACCTAAGATAAGTTGTTTAACTCTAGGGAGGAATGGAGAATGAAATTGTTCTTGGGATGTAGAAACATCTCATCTGTGAATCTGAAGTCAATTTCCTGTTACTGGGCAGTATACAATAATTATTTCAAATATTTACAGGTATGTTATACCTAATGTTCAGAAGAAGCATAAACATTCTGATTTTCTAATTTTACACCTTGACTATAAAACATTTGCAAGACAATTATAAGTTGTGATATAACTATACATATAATATAGAAGACACATGTTTTAACATAAAGAGAATGATGATATCCATTCATTAAAACTGAGGACAGAGAGTCTTCCCAAATAATGACCAATCTAAATATAACAATTTGATTTCGGAACAGTCTAATCTGTGTAGATGTTAAATCATTATTGCTCACATAGTCATATATAATTATATGCTATTAGTTTCATTGAATTTATAAATAAATCTCTCATGGTCTCTTGAAATTAGCTTTATGGGAGGGGAATATCTGAAATAAAATAAAAACCCACATTCTACATTCCTTTAGGAGAATGGGGACATAACTACCATAAGTAAATTATTTTTTCCTTTATTTTCTTTTTGAGATGGAGTTTCACTCTTGTTGCCCAGGCTGGAGTGCAATGGCACAATCTTGGCTCACTGCAACCTCCTCCTCCCGGGTTCAAACGATTCTCCTGTCTCAGCCTCCCAAGTAGCTGGGATTACAGGCACATGCCACCATGCCTGGCTAATTTTTGTATTTTTAGTAGAGACAGGGTTTCATCATATTGGTCAGGCTGGTCTCAAACTCCTGACCTCAGGTGATCCACCCTCCTCGGCCTCCCAAAGTGCTGGGATTACAGGCATGAGCCATCGTGCCTGGCAGTAAATTGGTTTTTAAACCTTTTCTGCTTGTTTAGAAGGAAATCTCCATTGCAGCAGGTGATGTGAGGTTTGATTAAATAAATTGACAGACTGCTCAGAGGCTGATTCAGTATTTTAATAACATTGCAATAAATCTTTTGCAATGTGGTCCCATTTTTCCTCAAGATGATCATCCTTATTTTATTTAATATTGGTGTAATCGAATACCTACTTCATTTAACTTTTCTACAGTCTACATTTTGAACTACATTTTGAAATAATAGATTCCGTTCATGAGGAATTATGATTGTGTGGCATTGCTAAGAGTTGTAACTGTTGGAAACGTCAAGATACACTGTTGCATGTGAAAAGAGCTTTACATAGAATTGATGCTATCAGATACAGTGCCATCTTTTTATTGAGGGCATGATAGGCTAATGATAATGAAATTTTTAAGAGTTCTGCATAATAGCAAGATTTTTAATAACTAGAGCAGAATGATAGAAATCTCTTGTAAAAGTGGGTTCCAAAAGATCTTAGAGTTAGTTGATTGTTTAAATTTATAACCTCATTAGTAGTATAGACAGATTCCTGCATCTTAGAAACTCTTAGGAAAATGCCAGTTTTGATTCATCAATACTCCAACTTTAGCTTCAAATGGAATTGCCCTCAATTTTAAAATGACATGAATTTTAATAAAAAATGGAAACTAGAGAAATAGTTACGTGAAGGAGGCATATATGGGAAAGTGGAGGCTAGGCCTTCAGGTTTTACAGAAGCAAGCATTTCTAACAAACAGAGACAGACTTGAAACAGGCTAGAGAACCCTTAAGTAGGAAATACGCATAACAAGTTGTTTTAATTGCTAATGCATTTGTATAAACAGAGCAATCTATGACAATTGTGCTGTCAATAATCTCTGAGATATGGTTAAGTTATAAAGCAACAAGAAATGATATTGACAGACAAATGGAGATCCAGTAATTGTCTGCAGCATCAAACTCTCATGTATAATGACTTTTGAAGGTTGAAGTTCATGAGAGCAGTTCATTATGTGTTTCAAACAAAACTCTATTTTGCCATTCTTCCATCAACTGGAGCAGTAAGCACTACAGCTAAAATTCTGCCTAAGGGAATCCATGTATACCAGTTGGTTAACCTTGTGACATTCCACTAAAAAGCACCAGGCTCTTTTGTAATACATAATTCATGAACCACTCTGATTGTTTAGCATTGATCAGCACTTGAATAAATTGAGTTGCTATCATATTAACATAAGTAGCAATGCTTTAGTGAGATTTTCTTTCTTCCTTTCTTTTATGATTTATAGTTCTTAAAACAGGAAGTCAGTTTAGAAGACTGCAGAGTTATGTATCCAACTATTACTTTTGAACCAACCTAATACAATGATAACAGAAGGCTGTGAAGTACATTCTAACAACTGTTTGCATATTCCATTTAAATTCCCAGATTTGACTGCCAGTATGGATTTGTTGTCAGACTTCCTGTCTTCTCTGTGGTCAGACATGCCTATCTTTGCATTTTTCAACTCTATATGTAATTATTCTTGTCTACCAAAAGAGTCAAACTCTCTAAAATATTTGAAGAGATTTATTCTGAGCCAAATATCAGTGGCCATGGCCCGTGACACAGCTCTCAGGAGGTCCTGAGAACATGTGCCCAAGGTGGTCGGGGCACAGCTTGGTTTTATATATTTTAGGAAGACATGGGACATTAATCAAATACATTTAAGAAATACATTGGCTTGGTTCAGAAAGGTGGGACAACTCAAAGTGGGGGCTTCCAGGCTATTGGTAAATTGAAACATTTTCTGGTTGACAATTGGCTGAGTTTATCTGAAGGCCTGGGATCAATAGAAAGGAAATGCTTAGGTTAAGATAAAGGATTGTGGAGACCAAGTTTTATTGTGCAGAGGAAGCTCTCAGATAGCGGACTTCAGAGAGAGCAGGTTGTAAAATGTTTCCTATTTTACAATAAGACCTAAAAGAGTGCCTGGCTCTTAGTTGATTATGTCCTGGTTCTGGAAAGGAAGGAAGGAAGACAAAGAGGAAAGAAGATTCTCTATATAATGCGGATTTTCCCCACAAAGGATGGCTCTGCAGGGCCATTTCAAGATATGGCAAGGAAATATATTTTGGGGTAAAATATTTTTAATTTCTTCCTTGTTATTCCCGAGTCAGATTGGAAAGTAAGCCACGATATACAAGGTTAAATAAACCCCATTTGATGGAATTTATGGTTTGTAGGGTGTGAGTGACTCCCCAGACCCCTTAGATAGGAATTTGGGCAAGATAAAAAGTTAGAGCTTAGTCCTCATTCTCAAATCTAGGTAGTTTGATGTGGTTGTATAATTGCCCAATATCTCAGCAGGCAAGGAACTGCAATTTATATCTTTCAGAACTTTACAAGGTAATACACTGAAGACACCAGCCTTACTCTAAGGAACACAAATGTATATAGTAGTGATCTCTGTGTGATGTGAACTCTGAAAATTTGAGACAAGTCTTAGTTATTTTAGAAAGTTTATGTTGCCAAGGTTGAGGACACACGCCCATAACAGCCTCAGGAGGTCCTCAAAACATGTTCCCAACGTAGTCAAAGCACAGCTTGGTTTAGTACATTTTAGGGAGACATGAGATACCAATTAACACATGTAAGATGAACATTAGATCGGTTGGAAAGGCAAGACAACTCGAAGCAAAAGCAGGATGACTCCAGGGGAGAGAGCTTCCAGGTCATATGTAGATATGAGACAAACGTTTGCATTATTTTGAGTTTCTGATTAACCTCTCCAAAGGAAACAATCAGATAGGCATTTGTCTCAATGAGCTAAGGGGTAACTTTGAATAGGAGGCAGATTTGCCCTAAGCAGTTCCCAGCTTGACATTTCCCTTTCGCTGAGTGATTTCAGGGTTCCAAGATATTTTCCTTTCACAGAGATGTGGTTTGGATCTGTGTCCTTGCCCAAATCTCATGTCCAGTTGTAATCCCCAGTGTTGGAGGTGGGGCCTGGTAGGAGGTGATTGGATGATGGGGGCAGTTTCTCATGGTTTACCACCATCCTCCTTAATGTTGTTGTAGTAATTGTGACTGATTGAGTTATTGCAAGATCTGGTTGTTTGAAAGTGTGTGGCACCCCACCCCTCACTCTCTTCCTCCTCCTATGGCCATGTCAGAGGTGCCTGCTTCACCTTCTGCCATAATTGAAAGTTTCCTGACGCCTCCCCAGAAGCCACTATGCTTCTTATACAACCTGGAGAATGCTGAGCCAATTACATCTCTTTTCATTATGTATTACCCAGTCTCAGGTATTTCTTCACAGCAATGCGGGAACAGACTGTTACAAGGTGTATATAGAGAAATGTGACTATTGTGTGGTGAGAGGGTACGTTTTCATCCTCACATGCTGAAAAGTGAGAAGAGGAATATACTCGAGAATGTATTTTGATACATAAATATTATTTCATTGCTTTTCCCTTTTAGCATAATTTGCACATTTTAAATCATGTAACCATTTCAGAGAGAAAACTATATTAATTATGAGATAGTTTTATCTACAGCTTGAACTATAGAAGAAATTTATTACTACATCAGTGTGAACCAGACCGTATTTAAATAGATTATTTAACGTATGGACAACAGGGTTCCAGAGTAGTGGTAAGAATTCCCTAAGGAAATTACCTTTATTCTTGGCATATATTTTGCCTAGTAAAAAGTGAATAGGCACAAATGTCTCCTATGATTTTATACCTAATCACTGTTCCCTCTTGAGATTCATCTATGCATGCTCAGCCCTTCTACTGCTATTTTTTCAGGAATTTATCTGTATGAAAAGCAGTAGCCTGAGAAAATTAGTTACAGATTTGCCACCAAGAATGACAAATGTCTAGTGGAGCAGAAAAGAGGCATAGAACATGCTCAGACTCATCACGGAAAGTGACTCAATTTTCCAGTGTATCATCATTTGTAACACAAATATATAGAATATAAAGTGATACGCAAGAGATGAACTCTCCAAACATTTTAAAGTGTCATTTGGGTATTATACATATTTAAATGTCCACATTTCTCATTTAATTTGGTTATTACAAGATACAAATTTAATATGCATTTACTGAAACTCATGACTTCTTTTTAGTCCTAAATCTAACTGTTTTCATTAAACACAAATTATATATGAATTTTTTATTCATAAAGCTTCATTCCTTTTTACCTATTTATATTTTGCTATTTAAAAATATCCAGCACCACACAAAAAAGTAATATGTGTGTGTGTGTGTGTGTGTGTGTGTGTGTGTATAAACCATTAAATTAAAAAATAATAATATCTAGCATGGTTGTTTTGTTGACATCCCATACACTGGTTTAAATAACTGAAAAAAAAATGGACAACAGCATTTTATCATGACTTTTCTTTGCAAACCATTTGAATTATTTTATAAAATGAGTAGAGATAGGTTACTTATCATTGCAGAATCTGTTTCTTTAGATATTAGAAATAGAGATTTGATTTTGAGCCATAACCTCTTGCTTAAAAGTATTCTTATGCCCTATGATATGCAGGTGTTATTCAGATTTAACTGTTTATCTCTATCTTTGAGGATATACAGGTATATATGAGGACAAGCCCACTTGTTCTCTTTTCCTAAAGGAATACACAAAAAATCAGGGTGTAGAAAAATATCTTATTTCTCCCTCATTTTATACACTAGGACAATGTGAGACATTTAACTGCTCTATCATGTCCACTACTAGGCTGTCTGCCAATTGGATGATCATACTTTCCAATTATCCTAGCCTCTAGTACTTCAGTGTTTAGGACAGTTGGATTTTAACAACATAATTCACTAGGACAATATTCTATGCCATCATGAATACCTTCTGTCTTTGGGGAAAAACAACAACAACTGTAGTGCTTTTTATTTACTTGGAGAATATTTTGAAATAAGTAAAGTATTAATTTCTAATATCTAGAGGTTTAGAAAAACATGAACATCCCTCTTTAATTTGAATGTTTATGATGTCACTCCACAAACACACATATTATTATCAATATTTAAATTACATTAAAGATATATCCAAGAACAAAGGCCCTTCATTGCAGTATGCATGGTAATATATGCATTATCAACTGAAGAACATGGGGCAACAAGTGAATTCTGTAGAGATTTCAGCTAATAAAAATGCAAGTCCAAATCCCAAATCCAAGTCCTCCTATCCCCTAACCCCCAATCCCCAGCTGTGGTGAAATTTCCAGCACAAAAATATCTAGGTTGTCATTAGTGTTTCAACAAAGCTAATGCATTTACTCTTCCATTGCTCACTAATTTTCAGGCTTTTTCTGCATTTCATATCCTCTCTTTGTCTCCTTACCTGCTCTTTTCTTCTTTGGTTACTTTTGTGACATTTTGTACCACATGTCCTTAGAATTCTATTCCTAATATTATGTTTTTTTCTCCAAAAATACTTTTCAAATGTTCTTCACAATGTTCTAGTTTGTTGTTTAGAGGTAGGTACCCCTGAATAAGATATATCTTTTAACGTATATTTAATAAAATGATAATATTTCATTCTGGGGCTACTATGGCACATCCCAAAGGAAGGAATTTGCATTTCTCTCTCATACTGTAATTTTTATTGAGTTTCTCATCTAGAAGTAACCTCCTTTTGATGTTGTCGTCACTATAGTCCTAAATTAAGCCTACTTCAAAGCTTTAAACAATAAAAAATTCTAATTCAGGCAGAAAGTCACCAAAGATACAGTGAACATATGCTATAAGCATGAAATTTGAACAATCTGTAATATAAAAATATATGGCATTTAAACCTTATGTCCTACATATCAAGGGTAATGACTTTGCTTTTTAGTAATTAAATTTGTACACGTAGTGAAATTGCTAATGGATATTGATTGACAAGGCAAAAATCTTCACTTTGGGAAATCTTCCATTTTCCTAGAAAAATCTTAGAGAAGTTATTTAAGTGGCAACAGAGTTGATTCTGAATTACTTTTTGCTATTCAAGTTCCAAGACGAAGAGAATCATTGAGCACTTTTAGGCCAATCATCATGCATTTTTTCTTTTAGAAACAAAGTTAAGGTGTTCAACATCTTTAGACACGTTCTTGAATATACTGTCACAATTATTAAAGATTATAAAACTGCAAATAATAGAATTAGTTACTTATGTTGTTATCACAGTGGGCATCAAAGACACGATGTTTCCCTTACATATATTTCTGAAGGAAAGTAAGGTTAGATTGAAATGTTGTTTGATATTTTCCAAAATGCAAGTCACTTGCTGAAGATCAATCTGCCTTCACATTTCAGATAATCAAGGGAGAGTCTGTCTACCTTATTCACAAACTGAATAAATATAGATTCATTCTGAATGATATATGCAGGCCCCTTTTCCCTTTATGATTTAATATACAAGGCACTTTGAACACATGGGACATTATCTTCACTTGCTCTCAGGAGGACTATGTAAGAGGACTGAATAAATAGACAAGTTTATATATAGTTTAGGGGCCCTAAGTCAAGTGTATGTGTATGTGTTTGTGTGTGTGTATGTGTGTGTGTATGTACCTGCTATATATGAATATATACACATATCATATTGTATTTGTCCATTTTCATGCTGCTGATAAAGACATACCTTTATGTCTGGGTAATTTATAAAGAAAAAGAGGTTTAATGGACTCACAGTTCCATGTGCTGGGGAGGCCTCACAATCATGTTGTAAGGAGAAAGGCACGTCTTTCATGGCAGTAGGCAAGAGAGAATGAGGGCTGAGCAAAAGGGAAACCCCTTATAAAACCATCAGATCTCATGAAACATTAAGTACCACGAGAACAGTATGAGGGAAACCACCCCCATGATTCAAATATCTCCCACTGGATCACTCCCACAACATGTGGGAATTATGAGAGCTACAATTCAAGATGAAGATTTGGATGGGGACACAGCCAAACCATATCACATACATACACATTGTATAAAATGATGTACAAAGTATGTGTATGTATGAATATATGGGAAAACTTAGGATTAAAGTGGAACTGAGCCTAATGGATCTGTCAAACTCATGTCAATATTTATTAGACAGAGATGTTCATCTGGTGATGGTGCCATTTTAGCTAATAAGAAGGTATAAACTATTGATAATCTTGCTTACATTTCTCTTTAATTTTGTTTGTTTTCTCCTCTAAGATTAGAAAGCAAAATTGAAAAAGTCAGGGACCACGCATGGTGGCTCACATCTGTAATCCCAGTACTGTGTGAGGCTGAGGTGGGAGAATCACTTAGCCCAGGAGTTTGAGACCAGCCTGGGAAACATACCGAGACCCATCTCTACAAAAAAATTAAAAAACTGGCCAGGTGGCGTGCACTTGTGGTCCTAGGTACTTGGGAGGTTGAGATGGAAGGATTGCTTGAGCCCAGGATGTCATGGCTGCCTTGTTGTGTTCACACCACTGCATTCCAGACTGGGAAACAGACTGAGCCCTTGTCTCAGAAAAAAAAAAAAAAAATTGAAAAAGTTCTCAGGAAAGATGCGGGGAAATATATTTTTTTCATTACACCATTCCCCCACACAAATATATTTTATTTTTTTCTTTTCATTTCCTTTCTAAGTCTTTGCATCTCTAATGATGGTGTACATTCATATGAAAAATTTGATATTTAGCAGAATTAATACTCAGTTAATACATAAAGCTATAGATTATAGTTTGATAAGTAAAAATGAGTTATGAATTATGCAGAACTCCATAGAATTTCAATATATGAATCCTCATTTTATTTATGTATCTGCTATATATATGTATATTTATATTCAGTCCTCCCTTGGTATCTTTAAGGGATTGGTTCTAGCACCCCCGTAATACCAAAATCCTTAGATGCTCAAGTCCCTTATATAAAATGATACATCGTATTTACATATAGTCTACACACCTTCTCCTGTATATTTTAAATTATTTCTAGATTACTTATAATACCTAATACAATGTAAATGCTATGTAAATAGTCATTATACTGTATTATATATATTTGTATTACTTTTTATTGTAGTATTGTTATTTGTATTGGGCTTTCAAAATATTTTTGATCCTCAGTTGCTTGAAATCAAGAATGTGGAACCCGTGGATACAAGGTGCCGACTGCTTATACATATATGTATGTATTCAAATAATGAAATTCATTCCTAAAGCATGAATATTTTAGGGAAAAAAATGAGGTAGCAGACGATATCTTATTGATCCTAGGGATTTCTTATTTTATTTTTTCTTCTTGCACCAATGTTTCCTGGCCTACACTAATCTAAGTAACCAAAACTACATTTTATGTTGTGAGGTTGTGTGGTCAGAAATTGAGCCCAAGAACTAATTAAGGTGGAGGTAGATTCGACTCCAATGATAGGGAAGCTCCCACTAAATGTATTTCTACAGCAAGACACAAAACTAATAATGAACATGATTGTGATACCATATACCCTCATTTCTATTTTGTTTTAATTAAATAATATAAATTCTTTCATAAATAAACATACGGTTGGTCATAGAAACCATCAGGCTAAACCAAAAGATGATGTTTGAATTTGCTCATAATTTTGTTCTTCCCTTAAGACACTAGCTAAAATCTCATCTGTGGTTAAAGCACAGGCATGATTCTCAAAATGTTCTTGGTATTGCCAGAAATCCACTGAGCTGGTTGTGCTTGTCCAGTGAAGCTCCAAATGCTCTTTTTTTTTTTTTTTTTTTTTTTTTTTGAGACAGAGTTTCACTCTTTTTGCCCAGGCTGGAGTGAAATGGTGTGATCTTGGCTCACAGCGACCTCTGCCTCCTGGGTTCAAGCAATTCTCCTGCCTCAGCCTCCCGAGTAGCTGGGATTACAGGCATGCGCCACCATACCCAGCTAATTTTGTATTTATAGTACAGATGGGGTTTCTCCGTGTTGGTCAGGCTGGTCTTGAACTCCCAACCTCAGGTGATCAGCCCACCTCAGCCTCCCAAAGTGCTGGGATTACAGGCTTGAGCCACTGCACCCGGCCCCTGAATGCTCTTTTAATTAATCATTGTAAATACATATGGATCTGTGTGTTCCTAAAAGGGTAATGACATGCCATACTGGCCACATCAAGTATGTTTACAAAGTATAGGCTAGTAACTCATAACTATTTTACCAAAACATCTCTAAAAACTGCTCTCCTGTCTTAATCATATTTTGATCTTGACTTTTTTTGTAACTTTTCTGTTAGAATTATCTATTCACACCTTGGCTCAGTATGTGCTTTGTGTTGTTAATAATTTCATGTCTATAGCTTTTTAGAAACTTTTACTGAAAGTCTGTATTTGCGTGGAAATGAAACCAATTAAGAAATACAAATGACATTTCTTTCCAGCTTGTCAGAAACTGTGAGAGAGAAATTAATGACAAAAGTTTATTGCTGTGTCTTCTTTTCAGTATGCTTCCTTCAAACTTCATGGCAGTAAATGCCAAATAACCTCATGTATCAAACTTAAAGCAAGCTGTGAGCCAGGTGTCTTCAACTGCAGGTCATATGCTGAGCTACATTCATCATTTTAATCTTTTGAATTAAATTCTCTAAAATTGAATAAACCTCAGTGAGCCTGTGGTTGCTAAGAAATTCTTTAATTCTCTGACTCCTGAATTCTGTAATATCTTCTGCCTAGAATAAAAATGGAGAAAGAATAAGGGGCAGGTTTTGGCCCATAGAAAGCAAACAATACATGTTTTGAGTCAATTTAGTGTTAGCAACTTGAGAGCAGGGACCAGAGCCATTCTTTTACACAAAACACAAAAATTTAGTTCAATTTTTGTATATTTCACTGCTATGTATCCTGCTGTCATTCAGTGAAATTCTGCTTGTATTTATATGCTAAAAATTGTTGGGGAAAATTACTCCTTTTGGTAGTAATCAAAACCAATTCAATGTGCACTACGGTATAATGTTTAAGTGGAAAGTAGTAATCTCAATAATTTCTCTGAAAATCAACTCCAAGTTTCAAGCAGCCAAGGATGAATGATGGCTGCTCTCTATATATTAATCAAAATAATCATTAAAGAAAATAAAGAACATATATTTAAAAGATTCCATCATATTGACAGAACAAGCATTTACAGCACTTAGCAGAATATGTAGTTCATATATTTTCCCTTAAGTGTTTTTCTTATGGGTTTTTAATTTTTTAAATTTATTTTGGGGATTTTTAATAGATGATGTATTCAAATGATTTAAAAATTAAAACCATGTAACAAAGTACACATGAAGAAGCCTTTCTTCCAAGCTTGTCACTATTTCTTCCATATATCCTTCCTTTCATGCACGTCCCTGTGAAGAGACCACCAAACAGGCTTTGTGTGAGCAACGAGGCTGTTTATTTCACCTGGGTGCAGGTGGGCTGAGTCCGAAAAGAGAGTCAGTGAAGGGAGATAGGGGTGGGGCCGTTTTATAGCATTTGGGTAGGTAAAGGAAAATTACAGTCAAAGGGGGTTGTTCCCTGGCGGGCAGGAGTGGGGGTTGCGAGGTGCTCAGTGGGGGTGTTTTTGAGCCAGGATGAGCCAGGAAAAGGACTTTCACAAGGTAACGTCACCAGTTAAGGCAAGGATCAGCCATTTACACTTCTTTTGTGGTGGAATGTCATCAGTTAAGGTGGGGCAGGGCATATTCACTTCTTTTGTGATTCTTCAGTTACTTCAGGCCATCTGGTCGTATCCCTGCAAGTCACAGGGGATGTGATGGCTTCGCTTGGGCTCAGAGGCCTGACATTCCTGCCTTCTTAATAAGAAAAATAAAACAAAATAGTGTTGAAGTGTTGGGGCGGTGAAAATTTTTGGGGGGTGGTATGGAGAGAGAGTGGACGATGTTTCTCAGGGCTGCTTCGAGCAGCATTAGGGGCTGTGTGGGAGCCTAGAGTGGGAAAGATTAAGCTGAAGGGAGGTCTTGTGGTAAGGGGTGATATTGTGGGGATGTTAGAAGAAACATTTGTCGTATAGAATGATTGGTGATGGCCTGGATACGGTTTTGTATGAACTGAAAAACTAAATGGAATAAGAAGGAGAAAAACAGATATAAAAGGTCTAAGAATTGGGAGGACCTAGGACATCTGATTAGAGAGTGCCTAAGGAGATTCAGCATAGTCCTGCCAGCAAAGATTATTTATTTACTTCAAGAGTTAAGAGTAGCGGTTTGGGGATAGCACGAGGAGATATCACCTGTGATGGCTTGGAGAAACAGTGTAAACTGGCAGTGTAAACAAGAGCAGGGCATGTATGAGTAGTTGAGAATGGAGAATAGGAGTATGACTAGACAGAAAATAGTAGGGATGACAAGTTTTTTTGGGGGCACAGTCTAAGTTGGTCTGGTGTCTGGAATGAGACTGGGGCCTAATAAAAAGGAGCATCTATACAGGAGCTTAAATGGGCTGTACCTTGTAGCATTCCGAGGACAGGCCTGAATTCTGAGAAGGGAAAGTGATAAAAGTATTGTCCAGTCCTTTTTGGTGGCTGAGCTTGGTGAGGTGTGTTTTTAAAAGACCTTTAGTCCATTCTACCTTTCTTGAAGAAGGAGGACCGTAAGGGATATAAAGGTTTCACTGAATACTAAGAGCCTGAAAAACTGCTTGGTGATTTGACTAATAAAGGCTCATCTGTTATCAGACGGTATAGAGGTGGGAAGGCTAAACTGAGGAATTACGTCTGACAGAAGGGAAGAAATGACTGCGGAGGCCTTCTCAGACCCTGTAGGAAAGGCCTTTACTTTATTCAGTGAAAGTGTCTATTTAGACTAAGAGGTATTTTAGTTTCCTGACTCGGGCATGTTGAGTAAAGCTAATTTGCCAGTCCTGGGTGGGGGCAAATCCTCGAGCTTGATGTGTAGGGAAGGGAGGGGGCCTGAATAATCCCTGAGGAGTAGTAGAATAGCAGATGGAACACTGGGAAGTTATTTCCTTAAGGATAGATTTCCATGATGGAAAGGAAATGAGAGGTTCTGAGAGGTGGGCTAGTGGCTTGTACTATAGCATAGCCTGACTTTGCTGGTATGTGGCGATTAGGCCTGGTGGAACTGCCATCAATAAATCAAGCGTGATCAGGGTGAGGAACAGGAAAGAAGGAAATATGGGGAAATGGGGTGAATATCAGGTGGACCAGAGAGATACAGTCGTGGGGGTCAGGTGTGGTATCAGGAATAATGTGGGAAGCCAGATTGAAGTCCTGGCCAGGAACAATGGTAATTGTGGGACTTAAGAAAGTGTGAGTACAGCTGAAGGAGCCGGGGAGCAGAAAGTATATGCGTCAGGTATGAGGAAGAAAATAGATTTTGGAAGTTATGAGAAATGTAGAGAGTGAGTTGAGCATAGTTTGTGATTTTTAGGGCCTCTAAAAGTATTAAAGCAGCGGCAGCCTCTGTACGCAGACATGAGGGCTAGGCTAAAACAGTAAGGTCAAGTTGTTTGGACAGAAAGGCTACAGGGTGCAGTCCTGGCTCTTGTGTAAGAATTCTGACTGCACTAACCATGCCTAGGAAGGAAAGGAGTTGTTGTTTTGTAAGGGATTGAGGTTTGGGAGATTAATCGGACACGATCAGCAGGGAAAGCACGTGTGTTTTTAGGAGAATTATGCCGAAATAGGTAACAGATAAGGATGAAATTTGGGCTTGACTGAAGTAATGGGGGCTGTCTGTGAAGCCTTGTGGCAGTACAGCCCAGGTAATTTGCTGGGCCTAATCGGTGTCAGGGTCAATCCAAGTGAAAGCGAAAACAGGTTGGGATGAAGGGTGCAAAGGAACAGTAAAGAAAGCATGTTTGAGATCTAGAACAGAATAATGGGTAGTAGAGGGAGGTATTGAGGATAGGAGAGTATATGGGTTTGGCACCACGGGGTGGATAGGCAAAACAATTTGGTTGATAAGGTGCAGATTCTGAACTAACTTGTAAGGCTTGTCTGGTTTTAGGACAGGTAAAATGGGGGAATGGTAAGGAGAGTTTATAGGCTTTAAAAGCCCATGCTGTAGCAGGCTAGTGTTAACAGGCTTTAATCCTTTCAAAGCGTGCTGTGGGATGGGATATTGCCGTTGAGCGGGGTAAGGGTGACTAGGTTTTAATGAGATGGTAATGGGCATGTGATCGGTTGCCAGGGAAGGAGTAGAGATGTCCCATACTTGTGGGTTAAGGTGGGGGGATATGAGAGGAAGACTCGAAGGAGGCTTTGGGTTGGGGAGAAGGGTGGCAATGAGATGTGGCTGTAGTCCAGGAATAGTCAGGGAAGCACATAATTTGGTTAAAATATCTCGGCCTAATAAGGGAACTGGGCAGGTGGAGATAACTAAAAAAGAGTGCATAAAAGAGTGCTGTCTAAGTTGGCACCAGAGTGGGGGGAGTTTTAAGAGGTTTAGAAGCCTGGCTGTCAATACCCACAACAGTTATGGAGGCAAGGGAAACAGACCCTTGAAAAGAAGGTAATGTGGAGTGGGTAGCCTCCATATTGATTAAGAAGGGGACGGGCTTACCCTCCACTGTGAGTTACCTAAAGCTCGGCGTCTGTGATGGTCTACGGGGCTTCTGAGGCGATGGGGCAGCATCAGTCTTCAGCCGGTAAGCCGAGAAGGAGTCAGTCAGAGAGCCTTGGGCCAGAGTTCCAGGAGCTCTGGGAGTGGCTGCCAGGTGAGTTGAACAGTCCGATTTTCAGTGGGGTCCCACACAGATGGGACGTGGCTTAGGAGGAATCCTGGGCTGCGGGTGTTCCTTGGCCCAGTGGCCAGATTTCTGGCATGTGTAACAAGTTCCTGGGGGAGGAGGTTCTGGAGGAACGCCTGGCTGCTACAGTTCAGGTGTTTGGAAGTTCTTGTGTGCTGGAGATGTGGCTGGGGTTTGTCTCACAGTGGTGGCAATGAATTGCAACTTTTTTCTGTTATTGCACACCTTGAAGGTGAGGTTAATTAAGTCCTGTTGTGGGGTTTGAGGGCCAGATTCCAGTTTTTGGAGTTTTATTTAATGTCGGGAGCAGATTGGGTAATAAAATGTATATTGAGAATAAGATGGCCTTTTGACCTTTTAGGGTCTAGGGCTGTAAAGTGTCTCAGGGTTGCTGCCGAACGAGCCATGAACTGGGCTGGATTTTTATATTTGATGAAAAAGAGCTTAAACGCTATCTGATTTGGGATAAAGAAAAAGGAGCATTAACCTAGTGCCTTTAGCTCCAGCCACCTTTTTAAGAATAAATTGCTGGCAGGTGGGGGAGGGCTAGTCACGGAATGAAACTGTAAGCCGGAGCAGGTGTGAGGAGGGGAGGCGATAAAAAGATTATAGGGTGGAGGAGTGGAGGCTGCGGAAGAATTGGGACCTAGCTCGGCCTGTCAAGGAGGGGAGAGGTCAGATGGGTCTGTAGAAAAGGAAGATTAGAAAGACTCAGCGACGCTTGGGGTTGGGACTGAGGGGACAGGCGGGAGGGAAAGAAGGAAGATTTGGGAGGAGTTGCACTGGGCACAGAGACTAGGAGGGGACTGATGTGTAAAAGAATGCCTGGACGTCAGGCACCTCAGACCATTTGCCCATTTTACAACAAGAATTATTTGGATCTTGCAGGATGGAAAAATTGAAAGTGCCGTTTTCTGGCTATTTGGAACTACTGTTGAGTTTGTATTGGGGTCAAGCGGCATTTCAGAAGAAAATAAGACGCTTAGATTTTAGGTCAGGTGAGAATTGAAGAGGTTTTAAGTTCTTAAGAATAGAGGCTAAGGGAGAAGAAAGAGGAATGGAAGCTGGAAGCATAGTGAAGGAGGCAAGCCCAGAGAAAAGAGTGGAGACACGGAGAAGGAGTGGGGTTTTCTTTCCCTCCAGAAAAGCAGAGAAAGGGTTGGGGCACAGAAATAAGGGATTGGGGTGCAGAGATAAGAGATTGGGGCGTGGAAATAAGGGATTGAGGCACAGAGATAAGAGGTTGGGGCGTGGAAATAAGCGATTGGGGGGTTCTTGCCCCCTAGGAAAGCGGGACTTGCCACTAAGGGTGAAGGAGAAGGGGTTGAGGGGTACTTGCCCCTGCCCCAGGAAAGAGGGACTTGCCGCCAAGGGTGAAGGACCAAGTCAGGCATCCCTGCGTGGTCTGACACCCTTGAAACGTGAGTGTATAATCAGAGAGGTGTCCCTGCAATGATTAAACACCAAGAGAAGGCTGCCTTCCCAGTCCGTGACCGGCGCCGGAGTTTTGGGTTCATGGATAAAACATGTCTCTTTTGTCTCTACCAGAAAATGAAAGGAATTGAAATTAAGAGAAGGGAGAGATTGAAGTGTGGTTCCAAGATTGAAAGGAGAAAGAGGTTAAGGGATAGTGAGGGAGGTTGGAGAAGAGAGTAAAAAGAGGCCGCTTACCGGATTTGAAATTGGTGAGATGTTTCTTGTGCTGGTCGGTCTGAGGACCTGAGGTCATAGGTGGATCTCACGGAGCAAAAAGCGGGAGGACAGGGGATTGATCTCCCAAGGGAGGTCCCCCGATCCGAGTCACGGCACCAAATTTCATGCGCGTCCGTGTGAAGAGACCACCAAACAGGCTTTGTGTGAGCAACATGGCTGTTTATTTCACCTGGGTGCAGGCGGGCTGAGTCCGAAAAGAGAGTCAGCGAAGGGAGATAGGGGTGGGGCCGTTTTATAAGATTTGGGTAGGTAAAGGAAAATTACAGTCAAAGGGGGTTTGTTCTCTGGCGGGTAGGAGTGGGGGTCGCAAGGTGCTCAGTGGGGGAGCTTCTGATCCAGGATGAGCCAGGAAAAGGACTTTCACAAGGTAACGTCATCAGTTAAGGCAAGGACCGGCCATTTACACTTCTTTTGTGGTGGAATGTCATCAGTTAAGGTGGGGCAGGGCATTTTCACTTCTTTTGTGATTCTTTAGTTACTTCAGGCCATCCGGGCATATACGTGCAGGTCACAGGGGATGCGATGGCTTGGCTTGGGCTCAGAGGCCTGACACTTCCCTCTACAGTTAATCATTCTTATTAGTTTCTCAAATATGTTTCCAGAGTTTCCATATGTAGATATAAACAAATATTTGTAGGTTATCTCATAGCTGTTATAAACAGTCCCTTATACATGGATATTGGGACTTATTTTCAGCTTTAAAATGATAAAATGGTAAATAGTGCTGTAATGAAAAATCTTTCACACATATCATTTATCCATATTTCTAGAAATGGGATTGTTGAATCAGATTAACGTTAGAATCAATTTATCTAGCTCTAAAAATGTTGCTGTTCTTGTTGGAATCACACTAATTTTGATGTTAACTTAGAGAGAATCATCAGCTTTATGATGCTGAATCCTTCTACCCAAGATTACATCATGTCTTTTCTTTTATTCCATCCTAGATTTTTGTCCTAAATTATGTTAAATATTTTTCTTATGACTATTGAACAATTCTGGCTATGTTTACTCAGACGTTTTGTTCTTTTTCATGTTGTTTGTGTATGTTCTTGCCATCTTAGCAAAGTAATTATTGCAAATTTTTAAAATATGCGAATATGGAGCAAAATTGGAAGTAACACAGTATATATTTTTATCAATTTTGTGCAACTCCAGACACTTTGTGTTAATCATTAATAAATATTTATTTTACTAAGTTTTTGATATCTACTATTTGATTTGGCATTCCTCAAATACCTGTTGATTAAAATATTATAAAAACTTCCTACTGGGAAAAATTTTTAAAAGCCATATTATCATTTATTGGTTTATCTTTTTTAAATAATTCAAATACTGAATTAACTCTATAGTTAACAAGATATCACTTACATTTTCTAAGATACTCTCTTGGATTTAGCTGTGTGGCACTATTAACCAAAAATAAATTCTAAGGCCATCCAATCATCTAAATGGACCCCTCCTCTTGGCCAAGGGCATTCCACAGTTAACCTGAAAAACCAGTTCAGGACATGACAGAAGAGGGGAAGGCACATGCCTCACTATACATCCCACCAGCATTAGCATCAACACAGATCTTAAATCTGATAAGAAACATTTACAATCTATTCTCTCAGAAGCCTATTACTTGGAGGCCTCCTCTGCATGATAAAATCGAGGTCTCCACCACCCCTTAACTTAATCCAAACATTGCTTTCTATTGATAACTCTCTTTCAGCCAATTGCCAATCAGAACATTTTTAAATCCATCTATGATCTGGAAGCCACCCTTCAATCCCCCTCCTCAATCCCTTCATCACTTTGAGTTAGTCTGCCCTTCCAGATGGAACGAATGTAAATCTTACATGTGTTGATTGACGTGTGATATCTCCTCAAATTATGTAAAAACAAGCTGTACCCTGACCACCCTGGGCATATTTTCAGGGCCTCTTGAGGCTGTGTCATGGGCATGTCCTTAACCTTGGCAAAATAAACGTTCTAAACTGATTGAGACCTGTCTCAGATACTTTTGAGTTCACAAATTTGAGAGCTGTCTTAGGTACTTTTGGGTTCAAAACACCCTTTGATGTTAATGGAATCCATTGTCTAAATCACCAAGAGGCTGGGCGCGGTGGCTCACGCCTGTAATCCCAGTACTTTGGGAGGCCGAGGCGGGCGGATCACCTGAGGTCGGGAGTTCTAGACCAGCCTGACCAACATGGAGAAACCCTGTCTCTACTAAAAACACAAAATTAGCAGGGCGTGGTTGGCACATGCCTGTAATCCCTGCTACTCGGGAGGCTGAGGCAGGAGAATCGCTTGAACTCAAAGCCCCCACTTTGAGTTGTCCCACCTTTCTGAACCAAAACAATGTATTTCTTAAATGTATTTGATTGATGTGTCATACTTCCCTAAAATATATAAAACCAAGCTGTACCCCAACCACCTTGGGCACACGTTCTCAGGACTTCCTGAGGGCTGTGTCATGGGCCATGGTCACTCATATTTGACTCAGAATAAATCTCTTAAAATACTTTACAGAATTTGACTCTTTTCAACAACAATATGCCAATATGTATAGGAAATCACTAGTCAAATTAATTTATCAGTGCTATTTGATAGTTTGTGAAATATCTTTGTATATAAACAATATGAACTGATAAAGAAAAAATATAGTTCTGATATAAAGAAGCAGAGTTCTTTGACAAGCTGAGTGAAGAGAATTTAATCATGAAGGATCCTTGGATATTATTTAGTTTTTAGACATCATGTAGTCCAAGATCTGTTCTGAAAACATACCTGGTTCAAAATGCAGATTTCCTCAAAATGTCTACATCAGTATCAAATGAAATATATAACAATGTTCATTGGTTTCTTCTTCTTTATGTCATTAAGTTGCTTCAATAGCAATAGACTGGCAAGTGCATTCTGCCACCTTGGACTTGTGATTCACTCAGGAGAATTTAACACTGTGATTAAAAAAAGTAAAAGGGATTTAGTATTTCTAAGGCTGACTGCCTTGGCAAGACACTGTAGTTCAAATCAGCATGCATCCATTTTGAATATTAAGTAGGAAAGTGAAATAAATTTTTGGTAGAGGCTTAGAAAAATATAAAACACTGTCATTCTGAGGTTAGTTTTCAGCTCCATTGATTTTTGTCTTTTATACCTCAATATGATTAAAAAAAAAGCTTTCCCTAAATCTGTCTATATAATGTTTCACCATTATGGTACACATATAATATAATGCAGACTACTCTGTTTTCCACTCTGACCTTTACTACATAGCTGGTTTTTGATAGAAGAATGTGGGAGGAAATACTTTTTAAATAGAATTCCAATAATGCATCTGTAAACATAACCTCTCATCCTTTGAAATACGAAGTGTTAACCTTGCTGTAGGATATATTATTCCTTTTCGTTTTGATAAGCCGTAAGAGGTAGGGACATAGAATTAAAATGCATAGATAACTATGGTCAGGATTACCTAATATTAACCTAAATTATGTCCTGTTAAGCATTGAATAATGTTAAGTAAAATGTTCTATTATCATTATAAGTTTTGTAATACTGTAACCGCCCAACGGGTTCACCTTGCCCGCTGCCTAGACAGAGACGATTTAGTAAGACAGGGGGACTGCAATGGAGAAAGAGTAATTCACTCAGAGCCGGCTGTGTGGGAGACTGGAGTTTTATTATTACTCAAATCAGCCTCCCTGAGCATTTGGAGGAATGCTTGGGGATTGGAGTTTTTAAAGATAACTTGGGCCAGGCACGGTGGCTCATGCCTGTAATCCCAGCACTTTGGGAGGCCGAGGCGGGTGGATCACCTGAGACCAGCCTGGCTAACGTGGTGAAACCCTGTCACTACTAAAAATGCAAAAATTAGCTGGGCGTGGTGGCAGGCGCCTCTAGTCCCAGCTACTCGGGAGGCTGAGGTAGGAGAATTACTTGTTGAGTCCAGGAGACGGAGGTTGCTGTGAGCCTAGATCATGCCACTGCACTCCAGCCTGGGCAACAGAGGCAGATTCCATCTCAAAAAAAAAACATTAAAGATAACTTGGCAGTAGGGGCTTGGGAAGTGGGAAGTACTGATTGTTCGGACTGAAGATGGAATCATAGGGGGGTCGAAGTGAGGTTTTCTTGTTGTCTTCTGTTCCTGGGTGGGATCACAGAACTGGTTGAGCCAGGTCTGGGTGGTATCAGCTAATCCATCAAGTGCAGGGTTTGCAAAATCTCTCAAGCACTGATCTTAGGTTTTAAAATAGTGATGTTATCTCCAGGATCAATTTGGTGAGGTTCAGACTCTTGCAGCCAGAAGCTGCATGACCCCTAAACGTAATTCCTACTCTTGTAGCTAGTTTGTTAGTCCTACAAAGGCAGACTGGGCCCAAAGCAAGAAGGGAGTCTTTTTGGGAAAGGGCTATAGTTTCGTTTCAGAGTCAAACCATAAACTAAATTCCTTCCCAAGGTTAGTTTGGCCTATGCCTAGGAATGAACAAGGACAGCTTAAAGGTTAGAAGCAAGATGGAGTTGATTAGGTCTAATCTCTTTCACTATCATAATATCCTCAGTTATAATTTTTGCAAAGACAGTTTCAAGACTAGGAAGTTATTTTTTGAAGATATAGTTATTGAATAAAACAGTGTGTAATTTAGCTATTGACCGATGGAGCTGCAATTTTTCTCAGCAGTTAATCTTTTCTTTAAGTTACTTCATAATTGAAATAGCTACTTTTATAGATTGATTAGTCCCTAAATATAAATCAATCGTATATTTAAAAGGGTTTTTATTTTAAACTTATCCTTGAAAGATTGTGAATAAAACAAATTAGAAGGTCTATGAAAGTTCCAGCCTATTGAAAAAGAGATTTGTATTGTATAGACTAAGTAATTCAATTGGAATACATAAATCTTAGGCTCTTACAAAGAAAGAGAAAAATAAAATCTTAGACTAAGATTTCACAGTACCAATGCCAATATAGACAAGATACCTAAACAAATCAAAGAAAAAGTTTTGAATTTCAGTAGACACTGTCAACCGAGGAAAATGACAAGCCTCAATCATTTTAGGAGATTTATTTGCCAAAATTAAGGATGCACCCGGGAGACAGGTCTACGCCTTTCTCCAAAGATGATTTTGAGGGCTCCAAATTTAAAGGGGAAAGGGTGGGATATTGAGAAGCACACAGTTTTTACATAAACAAGGGGGGGCAGAGGAAAAATGTGAAGAATCTGCATTTTACCTAACACAGACAAAATGGGTAAGGGGAACAATCAGCTATGCATTTTTGTCTGGCAGGCTGGGTGACTGCACCTGTAAAGATAAGCTATCAATTTGCATGGCCATGGAGAAGTTTTTAACAGCTCACCAGGAATTTCCTTGTGGGCAAAATATGGGGGAGGCGTGTAGCCTTTCATCTGGTAGCCATCTCATCGAGGAACCAAAAGGGGGAGGCAGGTTTGTGTGACTCAGTTCCCAGCTTGACTTTTCCCTTTGGGTAAATGAGTTTGGGGTCCAAAAATTTAATTTCTTTTCACAGCACACCATATTCTTGATAGTTCCAAATATCCCTTTCTGGCTCTCCTTTGTTTTCTTAGAGGAACCAGGACATGCTGATAACCTTTCTTAAGTTATGTTAATATGTAAATGCAGTCAACATCTGGGGTATTCTAGGCCTTTGGTAGCTCCACGAACAGCAAATACTTTCACCTGGACAGACCTTCTAAATACTTGGCAAAGGAAAGATTATTATGAGCCTTATTTAGTTTAGTCTGCAGCAGTGATATTTTATTACCAGCATTCTCTGTAGGTTTGGAGAATATGAAAGTAAGCTCTGTATTAGCCTTAAACTTTCTGAGCTGGATTTGAATCACCTAACGCTAAAAAAAAAAAAAAAAAAAAAAAATCAGAGTCAACTACTTTCTAAGCATATGTTTTCGCAATACAGATGAGGTTTTATCAGTAGTTTTTTACAAGTCTGTCTAGAAATTTCATATTCTACTCAATGCTTCTAGTTATTAATGAGAAATGAATTTTTTCATGAAAATGTAGTTGCCCTTCTATTAGAAACTGTTCATATGAGCTGTATCTACTCATCTTAAATAAAAATGTAATGCTACTCGATTAAAATAAATTTCCTCAAATTAATATTTCATTTTTTAAAATTTTAAGGTAGAATGTAAAAAGGAAAATGTATAGGAAATTGAAAAAAAACAGCATTTATTTATCCAGTTTCCTTTAGTCACAGCATCACTAAGTTGAAAGAGCTGTAGAAGATATAGTCCAATGTCATCATTTTACAAAAGTGAAAATTGAAATTCTGAAATATAAAATAGTTTCCCAAGTCACATAGTTAATGACAGAACTGAGGCTATTTCACAACCCAACTCTAATGCTCATTTTTCTTTTATTTATTTATTTATTTATTTATTTGAGACGGAGTCTCACTCTGTCGCCCAGGCTGGAGTGCAGTGGCCGATCTCGGCTCACTGCAACCTCTGCCTCCCGGGTTCAAGCGATTCTCCTGTCTCAGCCTCCCGAGTAGCTGGGACTACAGGCGCCTGCCACCTCGCCCGGCTAATTTTTTTGTATTTTTAGTAGAGACGGGGTTTCACCGTGTTAGCCAGGATGGTCTGGATTCCCTGACCTCCCAAAGTGCTAGGATTACAAGCGTGAGCCACTGTGCCCAGCCTCTAATGCTCATTTTTCTAAACTGCACTGATGATCACACAACCAGGCATACCAAAAAAAAAAAAAAAAAAAAAAGAAGGTATCAGCTATAAGCTATAACCTTTGCTCTTATGGAGCTTATAATTTCATAAGAAAGAGTATACAAGATGAACAGCTTTGTATGATCAGGACAGGCAAGATACGACATGCGCTATTTGTGCAGAAGACAGCTACATCATAGCAGGCAGGCTCATAGATTTGAGAGAGGCTTGGCAAACAGATAGTATCTGGGATAGGGTGAGGTTCTGGTAAAAAAAAAAAAAATGTATAGTCATCATAGTGTCCTACTGTTTTAAATTTTTGAAACAAATTCTTTCCCAAAGAATTCCTGAAATGTTTGGTATTTTGATATTTTTCTCTTAATGGAAAATGCAAATGAGTTAAACTATTAATGATTTTCATCCTATAATTGCTACCTACTGTCATTTGTGTGGACAATTTCAATAGGCATGTTCACTTTTTAGATAGAGATTTATTATAATGTTTTCTTGTGACAATTTGATATCATTGTGTTGTTTACTTATATTCATTTTAAAATTATTCACTTATCTTTTATTCCACCAAGATAATCCATTTATAGATTTAATTCATCATGAGGCTCCTAATAATGAGTTTATGATTAAGAAAATTTTGCTATTAGTTTGTTCAGCCATTTTTCAATTTTTTTTTAAATCATGGCACCTGAGTCCTAATTATAATTAATTGCTAAAGTTGATCATTTGAAGCTTCTTTGAAGAATTACTCAAGTTGTTTCAGTGTAAATTAACTCTAAAAAAGGCAGTGATTTATATTTTCTATTTTGGGTGCAAGAGATTAACACCAGTGCTAGATTATATTTAAAACACTTAGTTTATTGATTAACTTCCCTGAAGAACATATGACCTTATTTTTTCTTAAAACTATTTGCAGATCTGAAATATTTGAGGAAGGTCAGTGAGTGTATAGGGGTTAGATTCAGGGGAAGGAACAGTACTTCTACTTTAACCATAATACCTACCTTTTTATCTATTTTTTTTTTTTTTGGCCTCAAAAAGTGACATTTATTCAAAGAAAAAAAATGACAAGTCTATCCCTTGGCTCCCTTCACTCCCCTCTCCTGCTGCTCCTCAGCACCCCCGAGATTGAGCCCTGGCTGGGGCTGGGCGGCAGGACAGCCCCTCAGATGAGGTCAGCAACATTGGGGGCATTTCCTCAATGGAGGTGTTGTAGAAGATCTCAATGTCTTGAAGAGTCCTCTTGTCTTCTTCTGTCACCATGTTAATAGCCACACCTTTACGGCCAAACCGTCCACCTCGACTGATTCTGTGGATATAGTTTTCCCTGTTGGTGGGAAGGTCATAGTTGATGACTAAAGAAACCTGCTGCACATCAATGCCTCTGGCCAGCAGGTCAGTTGTAATCAAAACTCTGCTAGAGCCAGAATGAAACTCCCTCATGATCACGTCTTGCTCCTTTTGGTCCATATCTCCATGCATGGCGGAGACAGTGAAATCTCGAGCATGCATCTTCTCAGTGAGCCAGTCCACCTTCCTCCGGGTGTTGATGAAGATGACTTCCTGGGTGATGGTCAGGGTTTCATACAAGTCACATAGTGTGTCCAGCTTCCACTCCTCTTGTTCCACGTTGATGTAGAATTGGCGGATGCCCTCCAGGGTCAACTCTTCCTTCTTGACAAGAATCCGAATGGGGTCCCTCATGAACTTCTTGATCACCTCAAGCATATCAGAAGGCATTGTAGCTGACAGCAAAACTACCTGGGTGTTGCTGTTGAGCTTTTGGAATATGTCATAGATCTGGTCCTTGAATCCACGGCTTAACATTTCATCAGCTTTATCCAGTACAAACATCTTGATGTATTTGGGAGACAGGTATCTCTGGTTAAGCATATCAAACACACGGCTAGGGGTACCCACGATGATGTGGGGAGCTTCCATCTGCAGTTTCTGCACCTCAGCACGCATATTGGTGCCCCTGACACAGGCATGACAGGAGGCACCCATGTAGTCTACTAGTGCCATGACCACCTTCTGTATCTGCTGAGCCAATTCTCGAGTGGGTGCTAGGACCAAGGCCTGGGTGGCTTTTAGATCTAATTCAATCTGCTGCAGAATCGATATGGCAAATGTGGCCATTTTCCCAGTCCCAGATCGGGCTTGAGCGATTACATTATAACCCCTGATACAAGGTAGAATGGCTTGCTGCTGGATGGCAGAGGGCTTCTCAAAACCATAGGCATAGATGTCACGGAGAAGGGACTCCGAGAGGTTCATGTCATCAAAGCTGTCAACAATCTCATTCCAGTTACTCTCAATGACGCATTCGGGCTCCATCCCATCGGGGCCATTGTCTCTGGATCAGGAATCCTGGCTCACAGACATGATCCTGAGAAACTAGCCTTTTTATCTATTTTCTATATTGTGGCTTTGATTCTGTTGAATTTCCATTAAAAAGGTGGAGAGGTGTATTACAAATTGTAAACTTTTCTAACTTTTAAAAATCACTTTCCTAAAGGCAAAGATCAAAGTCTTTCAAGGTTCTTTATATCCCAATTATAGTTTCTGCTTCTTCTTCCTTTACACAAAGACTTTGTCTCATCCAAACTTATTTTCTGAACATTGTCTAAACATACCTTGTGGTTTCCTTGCTCCCTGACTTGCATAAACTTGCAGCTTCCATCTTGGAAACTCTCCTCTCCTACCCTGCACCCCTACTGGATCAAAAGAATGTCACCTGTCCTTTCCATTTATTTATTTATTTATTTATTTATTTATTTATTTATTTTTGAGACGGAGTCTTGCTCTGTCGCCCAGGCTGGAGTGCAATGGCACGAACTCGGCTCACTGCAACCTCTGCCTCCCGGGTTCAAGCGATTCTCCTGTCTCAGCCTCCCCGAGTAGCTGGGATTACAGGCCCCCGCCACCAAGCCCGGCTAGGGTTTTGCCATTTTGGTCAGGCTGGTCTCAAATTCCTGACCTCAGGTGATCCGCCCTCCTCAGCCTCCCAAAGTGTTGGGATTACAGGCATGAGACACTGTGCCCAGTCCCTTTCCATTTTTGAAGTTAAACTCTCCCCATGAAGTCTTCTAATTCATAACAACTGGAACTGACCTCTCTATCCATTGATCTCCAATACCAATTATCATTTATTCTTACCACTACTTTATATTGCAGTTATCTATGTAGACTAGATCAACATGACTGTATTTGAGCACTCAATAAATATGTGTTAAATGAAACACATATTTATTGTGAGGTACTCATAGACCACAAGTTTTGCAGAGTAATAAAGTTTAATTTTATTCTTCTAGTTTCCAGCAGAAAGAAAATAATGAAAAAATATGTATTTAACTAGAAGGAGACTGTACTAGTCAGGGTTTTCTAGAGGGACAGAACTAACAGTATATATGTATATATTAAAGGGAGTTTATTAAGGAGAACTGACTCACAGGATCACAAGATGAAGTCCCACGATAGACTGTCTGCAAGCCGAAGAGCTAGGAAGCCAGTAGTGGCTCATTCAGAGTCCCAAAACCTCGAAAGTAGGGAAGCCAACAGTTTAGCCTTCAGTCTGTGGCTGAAGGCCTGAGAGCTCCTAGCAAACCACTGGTGTAAATCCAAGAGTCCAAAAACTGAAGAACTTGGAGTTTGATGTTCCAGGACAGGGAGCATCCAGAGGAAGACTCAGCATGTCGGCTTATCCCACCTTCTTCTGACTGCCTTTTCTAGCTGCGCTGGCAGGTGATTGGATGATGCCCACCCAGACTGAGGGTGAGTTGGCCTTTCCCAGTTCACTGACTCGAATGTTAATCTCCTCTGGCAACACCCTCACAGACACACCCAGAAACAATACTTTGCATCCTGCAATCCAAACAAATTGACACTTAATATTAACCATCACAGATTTCTACTACTAAGTCTCTCTCATGTAACATAGCTTCAGTGGAATTATATTCTCAGATCCATAGTTTCTCTGAGCGATAGTTGCCCATAATTTAAAATGTAAAGTGTATACTCTGCAGCAGCATGTTTGTAAGGTGTGTAAATGTGAGTGTTTTAGTTAGCTCAACACTTAGCTTTTAATGCTTAGAATGACATACTTGAAATATATTTTTAATTTTTCTTGAGACTTTGACCAGAACTGGGATTAATCCATTCAGACATTATTTTGGTATTCATAGATCATCTTGAAGGTATGTTTTATTAAATAGCCTATAATATTTATTTAATTCAAAACTGATTTCTAACTTTTAAAATTTACTCATGGTGGCATATTAAGTTATTGAGCTCAACAGAGAATCAAGGAACAAAGAGTAACAGCTCTTTCTACCATCTTCTTAGATTTTCAGATTGATCCAATACAACTTTTAATAGCATTGGAGGCCAAAACTAATATTAATACATTAGCATTAATGCCGGTGTAGACAGATGTAGAAAGCTCCAAGAAAATTAAATTCTTAGATAATCTTTCTGGCTGTTTTCTTATTTTAGCAAATGTATTTTTATTTTATTTATTGATTTATTTATCTATTATTATTTTTGGAGACAGGTTCTCCCTCTGTTGCCCAGGCTGGAGTGCAGAGGCACAATCACGGCTCATTGTAACTCCCCCTCCTGGGCTCAAGCGATCCTCACTCCTCAGCCTCTTGAGTAGATGGGACTATAGTCATGTGCCACCACGCCTAGCAAATGTTTTGTATTTTTTTGTAGAAACAGGGTCTCACTATGTTGCCCAGGCTGGTCTTGAGCTCCTGGGCTCAAGCAATCCACCATCCTGGACCTCTCATAGTGCTGGGATTACAGACATGAGCCACCGTGCTCAGCCAGCAAATTTATTTTATAATTAAAAAAAATCAATGTTGGGTTAGCAGTGTTATATAGTATGTAGAATACCATCCTGAGGATTAGGAAACCTTGTTAGGAATTAGTTGTGTGTTTTTGGGAAGGCCTCTTTTGCAATATGAACCTGAACATGTTTTTCTATAAAATGAGGGTTCAGAACTTGGGGATTTCTAAGATTTCCTCCAGCTCAATCCTTTTATGTCTTTAAACTTGTAAAGGGTAGGGAAAAAGCCCTCAAAAAGTAATACTGTGGTAGGCATGGTGGCTCACGCCTGTAATCCTAGCACTTTGGGAGGCCGAGGCAGGTGGATCACCTGAGGTCAGGAGTTCGAGACCAGGCTGGCCAACATAGCAAAACCCTGTCTCTACCAAAATACAAAAATTAGCCGAGCGTGGTGGCGGACACCTATAATCCCAGCTACTTGGGAGGCTGAGGCAGGAGACTCACTTGGACCTGGGGGTGGGGAGGTTCCAGTGAGCGGGGATCGGGCCACTTTACTCCAGCCGGGGTGAAACACCAAAACTCCGTCTCAAAAAAAAAAAAAAAAGTAATACCATATTCACGCAAATACTCTCTTTATTCTCTTGAAGAACAAATAACAAAGGGATATGTATATCCTAGTGTAAGTGTTTCTTTGAGATTCACTCTCTTATTTCCTCATACAATGCAAGGGAAAGGCCATAGACTAATTTTTTATTAAAGTAAATACAAGTAATTTTTAATCTAGAGGTTTATTTCTGTAGCAGTAGAAATTCTTCCACATTAAATACAGGAAGGAAAAAAAATGCTTCAGAAGCACATTTGAAGAGAGCTATATTCAATTTCACAGGAAAGACTCAACATCAAGTAACCCCTGGGTCCCTTCAATGTATTGCTCTAATTTATACATCAAAGTGAGAACAAGCTTGCTGAAACATAAGGCCTGAAGGAACAACTCAATGTTTCTAGCAAAATGTAATTCAGCAGTCACACAGTCCATGAAATGCTCATTAACAAGCTGAGGCAATATGTACTGAGTATACAAGTTCACCTTTGCATATTAAGGAGCAATGTGTAATAACATTTATGGCTCTTGCTGTTCCACATGCAGAGAACACGGAAATTAGAGCCGGGCTGTATAAATGTCAAATGTATTTATGGTCATGCATGCATACTGCTGTTTTAAAACAGTAGTCTTAACGGCCACAAATGTTTCATTCATATGCAGGTAGTTGGCAGCCACCTTTTTTCTTGAGCCACAGATTACTTCTGCTATAGAATTCCATCCTACAACACAGATCTACCACCAACAGTTCTATGAAGCCATATGCCCTTCAGAAACACTGCAGTTTTGGTTTTCCCTTCATAATAATGTACATTATCTTAATGTTTCATAAAAATATTTCATTTAAAGGCAGCAAAGTAAGACATCAGGAAAAAAAGATGCAACTAACATGTAACTAAACGAGACCCTAAGCCCCAGAATTAAAATATGGTTTTCTGCTGTACTAGCAGCATGAGATCTCTTCACCATAAAATCTCCAAGCTCACAAGAAGGGAAGAGGGTGGAATATATATATATGTATTGACTCATTCCAAAGCATTCTTAAAGACCTTAAAACCAGAAAACAATGAAATTAACATGTCAGCTTTCCCTTCCACTTCTAGGAAGTCTTGTCTGACTGGCTTACCCTCACAGCCCTCCCTCACATATGCTTTAGAGTATAAACACGTATCTTTTCAAATTAATAGTTCTATTAGTATTTTTTTTCAGATTTGACTCATTCCAAAATTTATTGCATTTTAATGCAAACTAAGCATGCATATTATTGGTTTGGTTATAATGCAGTCTTTTTTTTTTTTTTTTGAGACGGAGTCTCGCTCTGTCACCTAGGATGGAGTGCAGTGGCGCAATCTCGGCTCACTGCAAGCTCCACCTCCCGGGTTCACGCCATTCTCCTGCCTCAGCCTCCTGAGTAGCTGGGACTACAGGCACCCGCCACCACACCCAGCTAATTTTTTGTATTTTTAGTAAAGACGGGGTTTCACCGTGTTATCCAGGATGGTTTTGATCTCCTGACCTCATGATCCGCCCTCCTCAGCCTCCCAAAGTGCTGGGATTACAGGCGTGAGCCACCACGCCCGGCCAGTATAATGCAGTCTTGAGATAATCTGATAAATTATTTATTTATTTTTAATTTTAATTTTTTAATTAATTTATTTGGTTTTTTTTGAGACAGGGTCTCTCTGTTGCCCAGGCTGGAGTGCTGTGGTGCCATCATGGGTCACTGCAGCCTCCACATCCCAGGCTCAAGCAATTTTTCCCACCTCAGCCTCCTGAGTAGCTGGGACTACAGGGATGCACCACCACATCCAGCTAATTTTTTTAATTTTTGGCAGAGATGAGGTCTCATTATGTTGCCCATACTGGTCTCCAACTCCTGGGCTCAAGTGATCCTCCCACTTGGCCTCCCAAAGTGCTGGGATTGCAGGTGTGAGCCACCACACCTAGCCATTGATTAATTACTTAAAAATCAAAGCAATATGCTATTACAGAACCAGACCTTATAGGCAACAAATTACCCATGTCACATACTTTTTGAAGTACATTATTGGGTATAGATATTCCACATTAACCAAAAGTACTTTATTAGAAAGATAGGAAATTGAAAAAATGGAGATGGAATTTTGGGAGTCCCTAAGCAATTCAATAATTTCTCAAAACAAACTTAACTCATTAGTAATAAAACCTATGGTTTTCCATTATTATTTTCATTATTTTATTATTTCTATTATTTCTAAATAAACTAATTTACATAATGCATGTATTCAAGCCAAGCTGAACAGCTAGCACATTTCTTACCAAGCAGTGTGTGCTCTTAAATGCATATAGAATAAGACACATTTACGCATTTTCTATTTTTATTTTACACATTTAATTGTTTATCTGTGAGGTAAATCACATTTTAATTTTTTGCAAAATTAAACAAGAGGCTTTTACCCAATAGCATTTTGGTCTACCTGTACTTTTTGAGAGAAGAAATAGCTTTGTAGTCTTGATACATATTGTCAGGTACTTTAACATGATATTTCATAACAGTTTCAAAACACACTGTTAGAATGGAATAAGCTAAAAGGGGGCAGGAGTGATATGCCATGATATTTTTCATGTAATACAAAGTCATGCCTATACCATCCATCATATGAACTATGTAGTAAAGTTGATGACTTGTAGAATGGAATGGCACCATTTTCTAACTTTTCTTTTATTTTTTTTTTTTGGAGACGGAGTCTCTCTCTGTCACCCCAGTTGGAGTGCAGTGGCGTGATCTTGGCTCACTGCAACCTCCGCCTCCTGGGTTCAAGCAGTTCTCTGCCTCAGCCTCCCCAGTATCTGGGATTATAGGCACCTACAACCACGCCTGGCTAATTTTTGTATTTTTAGTAGAGGTGGGGTTTCACCGTCTTGGCCAGGCTGGTCTTGAACTTCTGACCTCGTGATCCACCCACCTCGGCCTCTGAAAGTGCTGGGATTACAGGCGTGCGCCACCGCGCCTGGCCACCATTTTCTAACTTTTCTAAGATGTGAAGGTAAACAAAGAGATAAGTATGGTGAAAATGCAGATTCAAAATAATTAGAAATTCACTTTTGATAAAGTAATTCAAATGCTAATTGTCAAATTCATATTTTACACTTTTGATCATTAGCCTTGTATTTTTATTGTGACATCATAGTGAAAGAGTGATGCCTTTTAGATTCATGAAGAAAGCAGACCCATACATGGGTGGAAGCTAATGTCTTGGTGCGGAAAACAGCATGTCTTTCACAAAGCGACAATTACAACATGACTGCAATAGTAGTTGACAATACACCTTATTTGAACATGTTTAGTCTTCTCAGGCATAAATGATTTAGACTGAACAAAATTAATAGCATAGGGTTCTCCAAAAACACTTATCTATAGTGTATGCACTATGGATTTTGACATGTTTTAATCATAAAGTCTTTTCTACTAATAATAATTATTTTAGAGGTGTGGCAGATATTCATGTAGTGGCTTCCTTTTTCTGGTTTAGGCAATTATTAAATTATCTGACTATGTTTTATTCTCTTAGTAGTATAAGTATGTAGCTGAGATAAACAAACATCTATTATTTTTATGAAAATTAATTATGAGTTATGTATTTTTACATTTTAGTAGCATGATCATTCATTTTAATCATAGCTTCTAAAATTTTTTTTGTTTTGTTTTTTATCTTTTTTCTTTTTTTTTTTTGAGACAGAGTCTTGCTCTGTCACCCAGGCTGGAGTGCAGTGGTGTGATCTTGGTTCACTGCAACCTCTGCCTCTTGGGTTCAAGCGAGTCTCCAGCCTCAGCCTCCCAAGTAGCTGGGATTACAGGCGTCTGCCACCATGGCCAGCTAATTTTGTATTTTTAGTAGAGATGGGGTTTCACCAGGTTGGCCAGGCTGGTCTCGAACTCCTGAACTCAGGTGATCCACCCGCCTCGGCCTCCCAAAATGCTGGGATTACAGGCGTGAGCCACCACGCCCCAGCCTAAAATTGTTTTTAATCCAATCTAAGAATTAGCCCAGTTACTCCCATTGAGTAATTTAGGTATTTGTAAACATATTATGTTGAGTCACTAGGGTGTCTTGTGCCATCAGTGCACACTTGTCCTCATCTAATATGTGTGTACTCTGTCACACAATGCTTCTCCTATTTCTTGGACCGTATTAGCAATAATTGAATAGTTGAAGCAAAAATTTTTAAATGTAAACAAAGATGATATCAATTTTTCAATTTTTATTGATTTTACTTTATTTATTTATTTATTTATTTTTTGAGATGGAGTCTCTCTGTTGCCAGGCTGGAGTACAGTGGCGCAATCTCGGCTCACTGCAACCTCCACCTTCCGTGTTCAAGCGATTCTCCTGCCTCGGCCTCCCGAGTAGCTGGGACTACAGGCATGCACCACCATGCCTAGCTAATTTTTGTATTTTTAGTAGAGATGGGGTTTCACCATGTTGAGCGACAGAGCGAGACTCCCTTTCAAAGAAAAAAGAAGCAGTCATTTATGTTTTTTTTGTTTTGTTTTGTTTTGTTTTTTGAAACGGAGTCTCACTCTTGTTGCCGAGGCTGGAGAGCAGTGGCACGATCTCAGCTAACTGCAACCTCCACCTCCCGGGTTCAAGCTTCTCCTTCCTCAGCTTCCCGAGTAGCTGGGATTACAGGTGTCTGCCACCATGCCCGGCTAATTTTTGCATTTTTGGTAGAGATGGGGTTTTGGCATGTTGGCCAGGCTGGTCTCGAACTCCTGACCTCAGGTGATCTGTCCACCTCAGCCTCCAAAGTGCTGGAATTACAGGTGTGAGTCACTGTGCCCAGCCACAGTCACCTCTTGAAAAACCAAATCCAACCACAACGTTAACCACAACATTATTCCTATCCCTGAAATAAATATAATGAAACCATTTGGGAAACAACTTTTGAAATTATTGAGCCATGAACTGGTTGGTGTTTTCATGACCAGTTTCTAAATGGCTTCTATGATAAGTCTTTAGTTCATAATGTGTGTTTCTTTCTGTCATACTTAACATGCCTATTATATTTATGAAACTTACTAGAAATTCCTCTACAAAGAAAAGAAAAAAATAAAAGAATCGATGGATGTCACATTAAATAGTGGTATAGTGAGAATGAAGGCCAAGTGATATTCTTGAGTACTTAATGTTTACATTTAAGAAAATCGTAATCTGGGCCAGGAGCAGGCAGTGGCTCACACCTGTAATCCCAGCACTTTGGTAGGCCGAGGCGAGTAGATCACCTGAGGTCGGGAGTTTGAGACCCGCCTGGCCAACATGGTGAAACCTTGTCTCTACTAAAATTGCAAAACTTACCTGGGAGTGGTGGTGGGCACCTGTAATTCCAGCTACTCGGGAGGCTGAGGCAGGAGAGTTGCTTGAACCTGGGAGGTGAAGGTTCCAGTGAGCTGAGATCATGCCACTGCACTCCAGCCTGGGCGACAGAGTGACACTGCATCTCAATAAATAAATTTAAATAAATACATACATACAAAAATAAAATCATAATCTGAATGTATTGCCCTCCATCTACCCTTTGCTTTAACCATTTACCCTATGCTTTAACTACGGCAACTATGGTTTCTGGAGCATGAACACTGTCCTGTATCACATTTTGGGGAAAGTTTATTCCTTACCTGAAATTCCTGTCCCAATCCTCACCCACTACATGTTGGCCTATGTAAACTTCTTCTGTAATGCCAACCAATTTTCTCTACCAAGTTGTCTTTGATTTTCTCTGCCTAGATAAATACTACTTTCCTTCTGTAACTCACCACAGCATGTTCTTATTACTACTCGGTTCATCACAATCTAGTGATTTTTGTATATATTAGAAGACTGTAAGTTTCTTGTGGGCAGTAACCATACAATTTATCATTGTCACACCACCTACTCAACCTGTAAGTGTCGTTTCTCAGAGGTCAGTACTAGGCCACCATCTACTTTTTTTCTAAGACCTTTCTCTTGATGGTATCATATCCTATGGTATTAAATACCATTTCTATGCATATGACTCTCCTTTTTCTCCAAACTTGTGTCTCTAACTGCCTACGCTGACATAAGTCACAGGCATCTTAAATTTTAATAGCTTTTCTGCTGCACCAAACCTAGTTCCTTCTTCATCATCTCTATTTCATTAAATGGTACTAATACTGGCCCAGTTTCTCTCCTTATTTCTTCTACTCCAACCTAGATTCAGTCCCTCACCAGACTCTATTTATTCTGCCTCCAAACTCTGTCATACTCATCAACTTCTCTCCATCTTTACTGATATCACACTAAATCAGGCCGTTGGCCATCCACCACACACTCTTGTATCAGTATCCTAGAGTCTCGCAAACTTTCATTCTCACATCTCATCAATCACATTCTTCTCAGAATAGACAGAATGATATTCAAAACCTAAATAATAATGTCTTCCCAATCCATTTAGAATAAAACTCAAATCTTTACAATGACCTACAATATCCTGCCTGATTTGACTCTTTTCTATGTCATTCCACTTTCCTCCTTGCTTACTATATATTCCAGGCACACTGGTCTCCATTTTTAATTTTTATCAAATAAGGGAAGTGCTGTCCTGCCTCTGTGTCTTTGCCCTTGCTCTGTTTTCTGCCTAGGACACTGCCACACCCACCATACTTCTCATACTTCAAGTTGCAGCTTAAAAGTCATTTCCTTAGAGATGCTGTGTATAACACTACTATCTATTAAGTCAGTTCTGTTGTGCTACCTTATTCTTCTTTTCCTCTATTTTATGTGTCACATATTATAATTAAGATATACTTCAGTGGTTACAACTCAGGTGCCACGGGAGCCAAGGCAGGTGAAATAAATGGGTAAAATAGGCCTAGTACAAGCCAGGTGTGGTAGCTCCCACTTGCAATCCCAGCACTTTGGCAGGCTGAGGCGGGCGGATCAACTGAAATTGGAGTTGGAGACCAGCCTGACCAACAGAGAGAAACCCTGTCTCTACTAAAAATACAAAATTAGCTCGACGTGGTGGTGCATACCTGAAATCCCAGCTACTCAGGAGGCTGAAACAGGAGAATCGCTTGAACCTGGGAGATGGAGGTTGCAGTGAGGTGAGATCGCACCACTGCACCCCAGCCTGGGCAACAAGAGCAAAACTCCATTTAAAAAAAAAAAATAGGCCTAGTATAATACCGCAAGAGGTGTGACTAGCACTGGAGATGACATTCTGGATCTAAAATTGGCAATAGCTATTTAGTCCCAGGCCATTTGGGAGTAGGGCCTATGTTGAAAGCATCCCAAGGTTTTCAAGACAAACAGGGAATCTGAATGTTAATGTAAATATTCCATATTTTTTCATGTTGTAAAACAATTAATATATTTGAACTAAAATGCAGACCAAACAAAACATGTCTGCTGAACATTTCTGTCCCTGGGAGTCCAATTTGTGATCTCTGATTTATTTATGCATTTGTTTGTTTGTTGCTTATCTTTCCTACTAAATTGTGAGCTCCATGTGGGTTAGGGAACATGTCTGTCTCGCTCATCACTGTATTTCTACTGCCTAAGGAATGTCTGGCACATAGTATGAACTCAACATGTGTTGCATGAATGGATGAATAGATTTAAATTTTATGCACATACTGTTTCATCGTGCTTTCTGATTGAAAGAATAACAAATGCAATTTAATATTGAATTATTAGAAAATAATAGTATAGGAGAGGCAGGCAACATTTAGTTCTATAATCCATTAAGGAAAGTTCCAATCAAATATGAAAATATATTAACATGATAATGCTTATAAATATAGTATCTTCAACATTAGTGATATTATGTCCTTTTAGTCAAAACAGTGGCATTAAAAAATTACAATGGTAATGCATGCAATAAAGTTATTCATATTGATTATATGTATTTTAAATTCCTATAAAGGTCTCAAAAATTTGACATTGCCGCAGGCATAGTCTTCCATATCCAAACACAAATGGGAGAGTTTTGTTTGTCATTGTTACACAAGGTCTAACTAAAAGTAATGAGACTGGTTTTGATGACTTAGTTTTGATGACTTAGTTATTATCTGTCTCATTGCTTCATAGGTACATTATGTAACAGTAGACAATAGTAATTATTGTGAGTTCCTTATATGGAACTTTCTTGAAGTGAACTAAATTATTTTTGACCTCATGATAAATGTTTGCCCTTTTAAGGATGTTACTAATATTTATAGGACATTTGCTAGACTTTTTTTGTTTGTTTGTTTTTGTTTTTTATTTTTTTATTTTACTTTAAGTTCTAGGGTACATGTGCACAATGTACAGGTTTGTTACATATGTATACACGTGCCATGTTGGTGTGCTGCACTCGTTAACTCGTCATTTACATTAGGTATATCTCCTAATGCTATTCCTCCCCCCTCCCTCCACCCCCCTACATTTGCTAGTCTTTTAAAAGTAAACTTGAGGCTGGGTGCGGTGTCCCACGCCTGTAATCCCAGCACTTTGGGAGGCCGAGGCAGGTGGATCACCTGAGGTCAGGAGTTCAAGACCAGTATGGCCAACATGGTTAAACCTCGTCTCTACTAAAAATACAAAAATCAGCTGGTCATGGTTGCATGCACCTGTAATCCCAGCTACTCGGGAGGCTGAGGCAGAAGAATTGCTTGAACCCGGGAGGTGGAGGTTGCAGTAAACCGAGATTGCACCATTGCACTCCAGCCTGGGTGACAAGAATGAAACTCTGTCTCAAAAAAATAAAATAAAATAAAATAAAATAAGATTATAAACTGTGTTTTCTGATTAGTTCAAGACAGCACCAAAGTAATCCTTAACAATTGAAGAGGAATTGTTGCTTTCTAAGCACATATGCATTTATGTTCTCCTACTGTTTAATACATCATGACAGTCACAAATGTTTTAATTAAACATTGAAAATATAAAAATGTTCTCTCGCCGGGAGTGGTGGCTCACACCTGTAATCCCAGCACTTTGGGAGACTGAGGCAGGTGGATCACCTGAGGTGAGGAGTTCGAAACCAGCCTGAACAACATGGAGAAACCCTGTGTCTACTAAAAATACAAAATTAGCGGGTGTGGTGGCACATGCCTGTAATCCCAGCTACTCCAGAGGCCGAGGCAGGTGAATCGCTTTAACCTGGGAAGCAGAGGTTGCAGTGAGCTGAGATCATGCCATTGCACTCCAGTCTGGGCAACAAGAGCAAAACTCTGTCTCAAAAAATAAAAAATAAAAAATAAAAAAATAAATTAAAATAAATTTTAAAAAAATCTCTTTTTTGATTTTAAATAAATTTTTTACCAGATTGAAGATATGTGGGGAGTGTGTGTGTGTGTGTGTGTGTGTGTGTGTGTGTGTGTTTGTGTGTATTAGATTGGGTTTTGAGGGGAAAAAATTTAAAGTATGGGAGAATCTAATTTTAAAAATAATATAATTGATGTTCTCAGAGGAATATGTATTTCTTACCTTTGTTTGAAATATGTTAAAAAAAAAGTTTCATTGCCAATGATGTCAGTATTTCACCAATGGAAGCTGATTTTTGTTGCCTAAAAGCATGATTTTTATTAAATTCACTGTTTGATTCAGTTGTAATTCAAGACAAGTCTTTCCTTTTTCATTTTAATCTTTCTTAATGAGCATATCTAGTGCAGAAATGTTCATAAGTGTTTGAAAACTCATCCTATGTAAATAATGAAAATGATTTTAGGATAGTATGAAAAGGAGAGATATATGAATCTAATTATTACTACTAGTAAACATATATGTTTTATCTAGTGTATTTATTGCCAAGCCCCTATGTATATTGTTAAAATGTATAGTTATTAAATTATATGTTATAAATATTAATAGGTGCTGTAATATGCCATGTCATTTATTGGTGTTTTCATTTTCCTCTAATATAGATGTTAATAATGAGTGCTTTCCGTACCAGCCAAAAATTTGAATACCCCAATTCCTGGATTCATTTGCTTTATTCCCTCCACTGTTAAATTAGATTGATTATAGTATTTGGTTATAATTATGCTGAAATTGTATTTTGAGAATTGAAACAGCAGTCTTAAATCCTTTTTGAAATTTGTCAGGGTTTAAATAAATAATTTAAGTATCACATCAGAAGCAGCCACATAGTTATCTTTCCGCCCACTTTTTTTTTTTTTTTTTTTTTGAGACGGAGTCTCGCCCTGCCGCCCTGGCTGGAGTGCAGTGGCCTGATCTCAGCTCACTGTAACCTCTGCCTCCCAGGTTCAAGGGATTCTCCTGCCTCAGCCTCCCAAGTAGCTGGGACTACAGGTGCGTGCCACCAAGCCAGGCTAACTGTTTTGTATTTTCAGTAGAGACGGGGTTTCACCATGTTAGCCAGCATGATCTCGAGCTCCTGACCTCATGATCCGCCCACCTCAGCCTCCCAAAGTGCTGTGATTACAGGCATAAGCCACCACACCCAGCCTTACCCTTCCCCCTTTCTAAGAGTCAAATAACTCTACCCAAACCTAAAATATCAATTTAATGCAAAGCTATTGGTTTTATGTTACTGTTATGGTGATTATTGAATAAGTTAGACTATGGTTGAAGTGGGGAGCTAGTTATTACAAAACAGTAAATAGCCAAAAGAGTAATTTTGTCTCAGAAGCAGACATTTTGGTTAGAATTAGCTTGATTCTCTATTTGGTATGTGAAGATTTGTAATTATATGTGTAAAATTTCTATTATTTTAATTCTTTCACCAATGGATGCAAGTAAGGTGCTACAGTTAATTATAATGAATGTGGAAGCAATTTGAAATACTAGTAAATGCTTTACAAACGTAAAACAGTCTTCTGATGGGAGTATGCACTAAGTGGTATTTACTGAAAGAGAAAATAAATCATTGATCTTACATCTCTACACTCACTCTCCTTGGATTTCAGTCAGTATGGAATACACCTGCTGAAAAATAATGTTCTAGGAATTGTGCCTTGGACAGAAAAGAAAGACACAAATAACTAAAAAAAAAATAGGACTCTTGCCTGCAATCTCTCAGCATTAGCCTTTTTTTTTTTTTTCTGGAGACTGAGTCTGCCTGTTGTTGCCCAGGCTGAAGTCCAATGATGCGATCTCGGCTCACTGCAACCTCTGCCTCCCGGGTTCAAGTGATTCTCCTGCTTCAGCCTCCAGAGTAGCTGGGATTACAGGTGTGCGCCACCACGCCTGGCTAATTTTGGTAATTTTAGTAGAGACGGGGGTTTCACCATGTAGGCCAGGTTGGTCTCAAACTCCTGACTTCAGGTGATCTGCCTGCCTCGGCCTCCCAAAGTGCTGGGATTACAGGTGTGAGCCACCACACCTGGCCTCAGCATTAGTTTTATAAGATGATTCCTGTTTAATCAGAAAATAATTTTTTACAAATTAAAAAAATAAATGAACAAAAGGCAGATTATGTGTCAAAATTGATTCATTTCACATTTTCTATTACAATAATTTCGTATTAATAGAAGAGGTTTTCTCAGGTGATATAATTAATATTATAGCAGCATAATGTTCTGGACATACCTAGGAATGCAAACATATACAGGACATTATAATTATTATAATTTTCATTGTTGAAATGGATGTTTGCCATATATATCAAGAAAATAAATAAATAAATAACAATTAAGAATTCTTATTTTTATTCAGTTTTCACCTGGAAATGAATACCATAAATAGTGTATATTTCTAATTAATTTCCTTAACATTGTAGGGGAGGGGAAAAAGTCTTTTCCCAGGCCAGGCACGGTGGCTCACGCCTGTAATCCCAGCACTTTGGGAGGCCGAGGCAGGCGGATCATGAGGTCAGGAGTTCAAGACCAGCCTGACCAACATGGAGAAGCCCCTGTCTCTACTAAAAATACAAAATTAGCCAGGCATGGTGGTGCACGCCTGTAATACCAACTATTCACGAGGCTAAGGCAGGAGAATTGCGTGAACCCGGGAGGCAGAGGTTGCAGTGAGCCGAGATCGTGCCATTGCACTACAGCCTGGGCAACAGAGCGAGACTCCGTCCCCCACCTCCGTGCCAAAAAAAAGTCTCTTCCTTCTACCCATTTTAGGTTTATTGCCTGTGGCCCCATAAACCAAACTGACAAAAGACTAATTAAAAACTGAAAAGCATACAAATTTATTTAGTATAAGTTTTATAGGACAAGGGAGACTTCATGAGGAAATGAAATCCAAAGAAGTGGTTAAGCCTGAGTGTTTTTAAACTAGGCATGAGGAAAGGTGGAATGTTGTAGAAAAATGCTATATGACCAAAAAGGTATGCGCTAAGGCTAGTAAAATGAGGGAAACTTAGAAAGACCTGTTTTCTCAGATTCCTGTAGGCATCCCTCCCTTCTCTTAAGAGAGAGGATACTTCTTTCCTTCAGGGGTAGGGAGGGCTCACATAAGGATCTCATGAATAGCTCCATGGGAGACAGAAAGGTCAGAGAGGTCTTTCTGTACCTGTCTTTTTTCAAAGTTCTTCCACATAAAATATTCAATATGCCAAGATGCTGTATTTGGGGGTAGTGTGTTTTTAACCCCAACAACATCATTCTGTGAGATAGTTTGTACTTTTCGTGAGTAAATGGCTTATACGCGCACACACACACGCACACGCACACGCACACATACACATTTCCAAATTTAGGATCTGATTTTTCTTATTGTAATATAAATCCCTATATATGTATGTTTAAAATATCTGCAATATATGCACATATAAAATACATGTAATATATGCACATATGTAACATCAGGACAATCAGAACAACATTTTTAATATTGGTAATCTATTATTCATTAAACAAAAATTTGGCACATATTGACAAAATTCTTGCTTTCTGTTATTATTGTAAAGTATTTCACTTATTTACTCCTATATTTTCATTTCTTACAAAAATTCCTTGACTAGCCATCTAGTCTAACTATGTTTTAGCATGTTTCTACTAGATCAGTAGAAAAACTGCTAGCAGTTTACATCTTTAAAAAAAATTTATTATTGAGTCCGGGCATGGTGGCTCATGCCTGTAATCATGCCAGCACTTTGGGAGGCCAAGGTGGGCAGATCACCTGAGGTCAGGAGTTCGAGACCAGCCTGACCAACATGGAGAAACCCCATCTCTACTAAAAATACAAAATTAGCCAGGCGTGGTGGCACATTTTGAGTAGTTCCAGCTACTCAGGAGGCTGAGGCAGGAGAATCGCTTGAACCAGGGAGGCAGAGGTTGTGGTGAGCCGAGATTGCGCCATTGCACTCCAGCCTGGGCAACAAGAGTGAAACTCTGTCTCAAAAAAAAAAAAAAAATCTATTATTGAATCAGTATTAATATTATTAAAGAAAAAAGTAGGTCTTTAAATTTTTCTTGGGATACTTAATTTTATATCTGTATCACATTAATTGCAATTACAAGCACATTGCTTTGTGATAAGAATATATAATTTTATGTTAATGGAACCCATTTTATATGATTATTGTTTGATATACTCGACATTCTTTTTATGGTACAGTAGGTACAATGACCTAGAAAGAATATTAACTCATTTTTTGCACAGATACCCTGCTACTACTTGAAAAGAATATCCATGGAAATATGTAAAAAAAAAAAACCCATATACACCTTCTCATTTTAGGTGTTTGTTGGAATGCAACTTCCTGAGAAAATTTCAGTTATGGGTACAAAACACATTACCACTTAACAGGATGCCCTCATAATATTAAAGACAATATACTCTGAATCATGATATACACTTGAATGTACATTACTGAATTATTGCCTGAACAAGATGGATTTCTAATGTCTTAGATTCCATTTAAAAAATGAATAGTTTTATTCTATTAACTGTGATTGATATTTACTTAGCTTAAAGATATGTACAGTGTTGATTTTACCTTTCAAAGTCCTAAAGTGAGGACATTTTTTATGGGTTTGAATTTTTATGGATTTGAATTTTAAATCAAGAGATAGAAAAAGAAAATAAATGTTAAGGAGGATTTACTTACGTGAAACACAGCAAGAGTTATAAACTTTCCCTTGAGTCAGGTGAGGAAATAACTTAATTTTGTTCCCGGACCAAACTGAGGGTCGGGCTGCTATTTCTCGCAGCCCAATAAGGGGATGCAGATGAATTGGGAAGGAAGAGAGTTTTATTTCTGCAACCAGTTACAGGGAGAAGGCGTGGAATTTATCTCCACACCAACTCAAAATTACAAAGTTTTCCAGAGCTTATATACCTTCTAAGCTATATGTCTACATGTAAGTGTGCATCCATTTAAAGACATAAGTGATTAACTTCTTTTGATCTATGAGTAAGGTCTGAGTCCTGAAGATCTTCCTCTAGAGCCTCAGTACATTTACTTAATCCAAATGGGTCCAGGTGCTAGGGTAATTACCCTTATCTTGTCTCCTGCTAAATCACGGAGGTTTGGGGAGTTCCTGGAGGCCTGGGGAGTTTCTTCAGACCCCCAATAAAATCCTAAATGGGCCTTGTTAAGAATTCCTTTGTTATTTTGTCATGTTTTAAGGCCTAGGAAAGGCCTAGGCAAAACTCTTGGTGGGCTTTTGTTACATTCCAGACTTTGTATAAGGGCACTGGCTTTTTTAGCTTTTAATATTTAACTTGTGGCCGGGGGTAGTGGCTCACGCCTATAATCCCAGCACTTTGGGAGGCCGAGGTGGGAGGATCACCTGAGGTCAGGCGTTGGAGACCAGCCTGGCCAACATGGTGAAACCCTGTCTCTACTAAAAATACAAAAAAAAAAAAATTAGCTGGGCGTGGTGGTGGGGGCCTGTAATCCCAGCTACTCGGGAGGCTAAGGCAGGAGAATCACTTAAACCCGGGAGGCAGAGATTGCAGTGAGCCAAGATTGCGCTATTGTACTGCAGCCTGGGCAACAAGAGCAAAACTCTGTCTCAAAAAAAAAAAAAAAAAAAGGTCAGGCGCAGTGGCTCACGCTTGTAATCCCAGCCCCTCTTTGGTGAGGCCGAGGCAGTTGGCTCAAGAGGTCAAGAGATCAAGACCATTCTGGCCAACATGGTGAAACCTCGTCTCTACTAAAAATACAAAAATTAGCCGGGCGTGGTGGTGTGTGCATGTAGTCCCAGCTACTTGGTAGGCTGAGGCAGGAGAATCGCTTGAACCCGGGAGGCAGAGGTTGCAGTGAGCCGAGATCACGCCACTGCACTCCAGCCTGGGCGACAGAGTGAAACTCCGTCTCAAAAGAAAAAAAGAAATTATATATATACACGTATATATATATACGTGTATATATATATATACGTATATATATATATATATATATATATGTATATGTTTAACTTAACTGCTTAGTCAGTACTGAAACAGCTGTTATGGAAGCCTGCGTTATTGAGACCTGGCCTGCCACAGTATCACATGAGATAATTTTTCTTTAATTTTCAGCATCATTCACAGTTTGTTCTAATCTAAATAATTAACAGAAAAATAAACTCCATTGGATTAACAAGAATTCAAATCCTTTTCAATTAATAATTTTAAATTCTGACATTTCGTAATATTTAAAAATGCCATCAAGGAAGTACATGTTTAGAAGGAAAACAACACAAAATTCAATATTCATGACTAGTCTTTTTAAGAGGTTCTTAAATGGAAAACTGCATTTTAAAATTTTAAATTTCATGTAAAATAATTTTATAATTAATGACATTGCACATTCGTTTATATATGAAGAGAATATAATCACATCAAGTAGATTTTAGACTTTAAAAATGTGGTAATTAGCTTACAAAAATGTCTAATGCCATTATGCTAACTAGTTCTGACATCCTTTATGAATCGTGAACGATAATTTATATTTTGCTATTATCAAGTCTGAATGCTTTGTTCACATTAGCCTGGATAAAAATTCAGGTACTTTTAGGAAATTATTTTGAAACTTTTCACAGATACCTGGAATCATAAGCAACTGTGGCTTTTTGCTGTTTATTTTTTTTCTTTGTTTCTTTGAGACGGAGTTTACTCTTGTTGCCCAGGCTGGAGTGCAATGGGACAACCTCGGCTCACCACAACCTCTACCTCCTGGGTTCAAGCGATTCTCCTGCCTCCGCCTCCCGAGTAGCTGGGATTGCAGGAGCCTGCTACCACGCCAGGCTAATTTTGTATTTTTAGTAGAGTTGGGGTTTCTCCATGTTGGTCAGGTTGGTCTTGAACTCCCCACCTCAGGTGATCACCCAGCCTCGGCCTCCCAAAGTGCTGTGATTACAGGCATGAGCCACCGCTCCCGGCCAAATGTTTTATTGTTTATGAGAAACCACATATCTTAGAATACAAGGACAATACAAATGGACTGTGCATAGAGAGGGACAGACTATTTCAAGAGGGAAAAAATACACATGTATTCTGGAAATGGATTGTAAACCAAAAAGTATCTGAGACAGGTCTCAATCAACTTAGAAAGTTTATCTTGCCAAGGTTAAGGATGCACCCATGACATAGCCTCAGGAGGTCCTATGCCATGTGCCCAAAGTGGTAGGGGTACCGCTTGGTTTTATACATTTTAGGGAGACATGAGCCTTCTATCAATATATGTAAGATGTACATTGGATCAGTCTGGAAAGGTGGGACAACTTGAAGTGGGGAGGGGACTTTCAGGTCATAGGTAGATAAGAGACAAACAATTGCATTCTTTTGAGTTTCTGATTAGCGTTTCACGGAATGCACAATTTACAGGAATAATCATTTATGCCTAAGTCTAGGTTAGTGAAACAATAGGGTAAAGGAAGCAATCAGATATGCATTTGTCTCACATGAGCAGAGGGATGACTTTGAGTTCTGCCTGTCCTTTGTCCACAAGGAATTTCCTTGTGGGCAAATTGTGAGGGAGGTATGTCGTTTTTTGGTTTGTTTGTTTTTTTAATTTTTGTAACTATCATATTTAGGAATAGGATGGGAGGCAGGTTTGCCTGATGCAGTTCCCAGCTTGACATTTCTTTTTAGCTTAGGGATTTTGGGGTCCCAAGATTTCTTTTCCTTTCACAGAAAGATGTTTTCTTCTTAATGAAACTAATTACTTTGACAATATGTTTTACAAAACAAGCAAAAAAAAAAAAAAAAAAAAAGATGAGAGTATGTTTCATTGCCAGGAATGTGTTACCGAAAAGGCGTCTCGATCCAGACCTCAAAAGAGGGTTCTTGGATCTTGTGCAAGAAAAAATTTGGGGTGAGTCCATAGAGTAAAGTGAAAGCACGTTTATTAGGAGAGTAAAGGAATACAAAAATGGCTACTCCATGGACATTTTTATGGTAATTTCTTGATTATATGCTAAACAAATGGTGGGTTATTCATGTGTCCTCTTTTTCGAGCATATAGGGTCACTTCCTGATGTTACCACGTATTTGTTAACTGTCATGGCACTGGGGGGAATATAGCAGTGAGGACAACCAGAGGTCACTCTTGTTGCCATCTTGGTTTTGGTGGGTTTTAGCTGACTTCTTTACTGCAGCCTGCTTTATCAGCAAGGTCTTTATGACCTGTATTTTGTGCCCACTTCCTATCTCATCCTGTGTCTTAGAATGCCTTAACCGTCTGGGAATGCAGCCCAGTAGGACTCAGTCTCATTTTACCCAGCCCCTATTCAAGATGGAGTTGCTCAGGTTCAAATGCCTCTGACAACAGGAAGGACTATTTCTAGATATTACAAATAAATATATATATTTGGAAATAAAAATAAGGTCCTAGAGAGAGAGTGTTTTCATTGTATTAAAAATGGTAGTCTGTTGGATTTTAGTTCCCCATTTTACTATGAACTAATGAAACAGCAGCTTTAATGCATTTTATAGTGGAATCATGTTATTCGTCTTCTCTGAGTTCAGAGTTTTTTATCCTACCTTCTGTTCCTCTCTTCAGTATCTCTTAACTAAAAGGGCAAGTAGCATCATTCATTGTCTCATCACATCCATTTTGTCACAATGATAGTGTAATAAAGTCCATTATTTCTAAGAAATGAATATCCCATCCAGGAATGAATAATTTCTTCAAGTATAGTAACAGCACTCTTTATTGTATAGGCCATGATGATTTTGTACAGTAAAAGATTCTATGTGGTAGGCATGATTTCTTTTTTTGGTGAGAGGAAGGAAGGTACTACATTTCATTAATATTCTGTTTTATTATTCTAATAGGAGTGATAAAATATGTCCCTCAAGTGCTGGTGCAAGAATAGGGTTTATGTTTCATTATAAATATTATTGTGAACACTGCCCAAGGAAATTATTATATGTCTTCTTGGAGAGAGTATAATATGCTAATAAAAATCAAGCTGTACAGTACCCTGTAGCTCTGACTTTAGTCCTGTGATCATTATGTACATAGAAGTGTGTGCGTGTGTGTGTGTGTGTGTGTGTGTGTGTGTGTATGGTGGAATACATGAAGTCAATTGGAGGATCTGCCCTTTGTGTATAATTGGAATGAAAATTATTATCTTGGTGAAGAAAATCTGAGCTGCCAATCTTCGATAATGAGAAAGTAATAGCAGAGTCGAGAACACACATACTGTAATTTAAAGATGACATATGCAAAAAAAATGTCATTATCTCTAAACAAAAATATTTGGGAGAGAGTGATAGATTGCTCACTTGTAATTATTCAGTCAATAATTGGTTTTCATTTGCAAATTACAAGCACATGGCAAGAAAGTCTTATGTGTTCAAATTAAGACACTGGAATACTAATTAGTCCCATATTAGCTGTTAAGCACTATTCATTAGCAAAGCAAAGAAATAAAAGTCAAACATCTTGTTGAAATTGTAGGTGACTTCTGAGCAAAGATTTGAAAGACTTGAGGGAGTAATCATGTGGCTATTTGGGGGAAGCTTATTCCAAACAGAAGGAACAAAAATACAAAGGCACTAGATGTACGTGTGACGTAGACAGCAAGAATACCAGAATCTCTGGAGCCCGAGGAACAAAGGGAAGAGGAATAGGAGATAAGGTCAGAGAGACAACAGGGGATCAGATCTTGTAGAGTAGGAGTCAGCAAACTGCACTTATTTTTAGATACCTCAGGAGATAAGAATAATTTTTACATGTATTAAATGGTTAAAAAATAAGCCCAAGAAAAATGTTACTTCACATGTGAAAATCTTGTTGAATTCAAATTTTAGTTCCATAAATAAAGGTTTATTGGAATCCAGCCATGCTCATTCTTTTTCATACTGCCTGTGGCTGCTTTCATCCCACAGGGGTATAACTGAGTTGTTGCAAAAGACATGATGGGGCCCCATGAAGCCTGAAATATTTGCTATCTGTTCAATTACAGAAACTGCCTACTGACCCCTGTTGTAGATAGAGCCTTGCAGGGCATTTTAAGAGCTTTAACTTTTAATCAGTGTGACGGGAAACCCTTTGGTAGGTGCTGAGCAGAGGAATTACATGAGCTAGTTTTCTCTTTAAACAGGATCACTTTATCTACTATCTGCTATGATAATAAATTTGGGAAGGGGTAGGAAGTGGATATTTTCATTTTCCCTAAAAATTTTTACCTTCACAATAATAAATCAAATCTAATAGGCCTGCAGGTTTTCTCTACTCGTCATTTTTGTTTCTTTTTTCTTTTTTTTTTTTTCTTGAGACAGAATCTCATATTGTTGCCCAGGCTGGAGTGCAGTGGCTATTCAAAGGACTAATCATGGCTCACTGCAGCCTCAAACTCCTGGCCTTGAGGGATCCTTCCACCTTAGCCTTCCAAGTAGCTGGGACTACAGGCACACTCCACTATGCCCAGTTAGTCTTCTTATACTACAAGCAAATATATACATAGACAACAGTGTATACATATACACACATACCATTAGTATGCATATTAAGTATTATTATAAAATAAACTTGGTTGATTTCTGTTAACCTATAGAATAATGGAAACATAGTCTTTTTGTCCCTTAAAAAAGTCATCTTGCAGAGCTTACAATTTAAGTTGAAGAATGTCTGCTGTAGCAAAGCTCAACTTCAAGCAGCTTTAATGGCTGCCAAGTACTATGTTGTCCTTAGTTCTAGCAGGCAATGAAGCATATAGGTTTCTTCTAAGATGCCATTAAAATAAGAAAAACGTTTTCATATTTGTTTTAGTATATAAGATCCTTTTCATGGCAACAGAGTCATTGGGATATAAATCACATACCATACAATTGACCCATTTAAAGTGCACAACAAAATGGCTTTTAGTATATTCACAGCATTTTGCAACTACCACTACAATTAATTTTAAAATATGTTCCTCAACCCCAAAAGAAACACTATACCTGTTAAAAGTCACCCCCAATCCTACCATTCTACCCACCTGTCAACCCAGCTCCTAGCAACCACTAATCTTTCTGTATCAAAAGATTTGCTTATTCGGGATATTTCATATAAATGAAATAATATAATATGTGATATTTTGTTACTGGCATCTTTCACTTAGCATAATGTTTTATTTATTTATTAATTTATTTTGAGTTCCAGGGTGCATGAGCAGAATGCACAGGTTTGTTACATAGGTAAACCTGTGCCATGGTGGTTTGCTGCACAGATCATCTCTTCACCTAGGTATTAAGCCTAGCATCCATTAGCTATTTTTTCTGATGCTCTCCGTCCCCCCTCCTCTCCACCCCCGACAGACCCTAGTGTGTATTGTTCCCCTCCCTGCACCCATGTGTTCTCACTGTTCAGCTCCCACTTATAAGTGAGAACATGCAGTGTTTGGTTTTGTTCCTGCATTAGTTTACTAAGGATAATGGCTTCCAGCTCCATCCATGTCCCTGCAAAGGACATGATCTCATTCCTTTTTATGGCTGCATAGTATTCCATGGTGGATATGTACCACATTTTCTTTATCCACTCTGTCATTGATGGGCAACTGGGTTGATTCCTTGTCTTTGCTATTGTGAATAGTGCTGAAAGCATAATGTTCTATAAAGGCTTTTTTTAATGGTATGTTATGAAAACTGGCATGTCCTCAGTTTTACTCTAGCATCAGAATATATTTTCATTATTATTTTCCATAAATTATGGCAGCATAAATATAGTATGCCATTAAAATTCTATAATTTAAAAATTAAAGAATAAAAATACTTTAAAATTAAAATTAAATTAAATATAAACAAAATTAAAATTAATAATTAATGGATATTTTCCTCAAGTATGCATTAATATGTGCATTGGAAATATAATATCAAATATAATATATTCTCTGAATATTGTAATAGCCTAGGGTATCAAAGCACATTGTAATTATTAGTTCTTATATTAGTCTTGACTTAAAAAGTGTCCAATGTATCAGAGCCCTAAAATTAAATGACCATTCAGTATAATCATAATGTGCAATGGATAATCATTTGTAGTATTATATTGAGATCCAAATATTTAGTTTCATATTATTCTACTGAATTAGTGTCTTTTATCAGTTTCATAATGTATTGAACAGTATTTGTATACAGAAATAACTACATCAGAATTCCAATTTCCTAATACTTTTAGGAGTATACAAAAAGAAATCTCAAAGTGAGGCCTTCCATCAACATTATGTTTCTTACCACCAACTTTCCTAGGCTTCACATGTACACAACACATTTTAATTTTATTGGACAGAGGAGAATGTTCAATCTAGGATGCAAATGTTTTGGCTAATTGTTAATGGCAATAGCAGGGTGTATGCCCTTGAAATTGCATTTACATATAGATTATTTTCACCTCTCCTCTTTGATTGGTAATGTAAATAAACATTTTAATTTTTCATGAAATTCAGTTCATTTTTCTTTTCCTTTAGTAAATACCTGGTATTATCTACAGATACCATTTGGAATGTTTTGAAAAAAAAGTCAATTTTACTCTAAAACAAGTCTTTTTCTTTTTCTTTCTTTCTTTCTTTTTTTTTTTTTTTTTTTTTTGAGATGGAGTCTTGCTCTTGTCGCCCAGGCTGAAGTGCAGTGGCATGATCTCAGCTCACTGCAACCTCCGCCTCCCAGGTTCAAGCGATTCTCCTGCCTCAGCCTCCCAAGTAGCTGGGATTATAGGCACCCGCCACATTTTTGTATTTTTAGTAGAGATGGGGTTTCGCCATGTTGACCAGGGTGGTCTCAAGCTCCTGACCTTGTGATCCACCTGCCTCAGCCTCCCAAAGTGCTGAGATTATAGGCATGAGCCACCCCTCTAGGGCTAAAACAAGTCTAATCAAAACGACAGTAGCTGCACGTAAATGTACTTCACTCAAATAAAATCTGTAGTTTTTCTTTATGAACTATTTATCCATGAGACAACAATAAGAAACTTTATCAGAAAGATAATCTATTCAGTGTTGCTGTGAGTCATTTCACAAATGTTGTGATAATTTGTTAATAGTTGATAATTAAACATAATATACAAACAAGGGTTTAGGTGGTATGATTCAGCAGAGAATGTGACATACATACCTTCATTACTAAAATGCTATTATAGTGCCTGGGATCTATCAATAAAGAAGGGACTATTTTTCTATATTCTGCCCAGTTATTCATATTTATATTAACATAGCACATTTATAGAATCACTTCTAAGAAAGGATTAAAATTACCTACTGTCCATGCCCTTCTATCCTTCCTTTTTTTTTTTTAATTTCAAGGAGAAAAGTGAAAGGAGGTAAGAATCAAGATTAACAGATTGTAAAAAAAAATTTTTAACTATAGACATAAATAAACAATATTTTCAAAATTTCTAAGTATATTTCAAAAGCAGAATTTTGAAATATACAGTATTAATATATATTGTGTATATTTTTAAAATGATGTGTGTCCCCACACATGTACATGTGAATGTGTATACATATATATGTATTTTATCATACATATGTATAAAAAAGGAAGAGGCATTTATGAGTTTGATAATTATTTCAAAAGCTATTTTATCAGTATTGATTTTTAGTTCAACATCTAAGTAGACTTGTAATTTAATCTCTCTTCAAAAATTTTTAATATTTACTAGGCTATGTTATAGAATATGGTTAACTTTATGAAAGGCTGTTTGTAAATGACTAGTAGCTATAGATTTTATTTAGGAGAGGCACAGTAAAAATATGTTTTCCAAAACTGTTGTGCAATTTACTTGAGAACAGTACATAAAATAAAACGGTATGTAAAAATAAAGTTATGATTGTGCTTTTGTCACTTTTTCCTAACTTTGAAGTAAAGGCCCTTTTACACCTTTTTCTTGTATTAAAAACCCACCAATGAAAATCACAAATCTTGAAAAATAAAAACATTTACATATAAATTTATAGAATAAATGGCTTTTTTTCAAAATTATTTGTCCTGTGAATTTCTACCTGCCAACCCACTTATAGCAAGGTTTGTAAAAACAACCAGCTCTCTGCTGTAAAGACTCGTTGCTCAAAAATGTTTATTTAGTGTTAGAATATAAGTGGCTTGTGTTTCATCCCCTCATTTAGCATCCAATCTAAGAGGTACCTGAGAGAATTTATGGAAATGAAGACATACTAATAAATATGTATTTTGCTTTCATAGTTACAGATAAAAGTTGACGAGTACATAAAAAAGCTATAAAAATGTCTATATAAGTGTTATACATTTTTATTTATTATTAATCTATCATTAATTTTACATGGGGATGGGACAGGATCATTCTTCTCCAGTTGTGTCTGTATACAATGCCACCCTCTATAGGATTGTTATTGATATTATTTAAAAAAGAGGAAACAGGTGGAGAGTAGAAAACTATACTTACTTTATTTTAGTCCATTTCTCTTAACATTCCTCTCACAGAAGTGAATTAATAGCAGCTTGATATCAATGGCATGCAGGATTTTATTGGTAATCAGTAATATTGAATGTTATATAGTTTTTAAAAATTCTATATTCCATTTTTCATTGTTTATGTTATTTACCTAAGTGTTAACATTGCAAATTAGTATTTCATTATTAGTATGGGCCCATACCTTGTCTGACTGCTGGGTCAGCAAGTGGAAATTGCAACATGATTAATTACTTAGTTTATTTAGAAAACGTAAAAAGCAAAACAAGAGAATACTGTTAAAAGATATCACATCATAATTTAAGCCAGGCAAAGACAGAACTATTTTAAAAAGTGATGCTATAGGTTACATTGAAGACGAAGCTCTTTCGCTTCCCCAGTTTAAATTCCATATTGTTTGTGAGATACTTGACGAAACAGAAAGATCATTTAAACCTAATGTTTTTTTCCAATGCCATTTTCTTCCTCATCAGTTATGTTGCTATTTTTATATTTATAATATAGCCATGTGCTTTAGTTTAACCAATTAACGATGCTTATCCTGTAATTATTTCTAATGCAATATTTTTATAATACATCTATTATGTGTATAGTAGTCACAACTGGTAAGTTAAATGGCAGAAATAGGTATTCTAGGAAAACTTGATATAGTTAATTCCCAACAATAACTCTATACTTAAGAACATGTTTCTGATTCCCTGGAATTGAGATATTCTACTTGTTCTAAATCATTTGTGAGTTTTAAGATGGAACTATTCACCCCATAAAGTTCTGTATCATTGTTGAATATTGTTTCATATATGTTATTGTTTGAGTAAATCTTATCAGACAAGGCAGATGCAATTTATACAATTATAAGCTTAATGTACATTGTATAAATTAAGTTGGATTAATTTTAGAGATGATCTCGAATTTGTCAGATAGTTGTAAAACACCCTTACTCTAATATTGCCATGTAGACTAGGTGCTTCAGGTAAACAAGTGCTAAATTCTTTTCTTTTTTTTTTTTTTTTTTTGAGATGGAATTTTGCTCTTGTTGGCTGGAGTGCAGTGGAGCAATCTCGGCTCACTGCAACCTCTGCCTACCGGGTTCAAGTGATTCTCCTGCCTCAGCCTCCCTAGTAGCTGGGATTACAGGCATGCGCCACCATATCCAGCTAATTTTGTATTTTTAGTAGAGACAGTTGGTCCATGCATGTGCGCACAAACACACACACATCTACACATACACATATCCATGTTGGTCAGGCTGGTCTTGAACTCCTGACCTCAGGTGATCTGCCGGCCTCAGCCTTCCAAAGTACTGGGATTACAGGCGTCAGCCACTGTGCCCGGCCCAAGTGCTAAATTCTTTGTAGGTCAAATGCAGAAATAGGGATTGAATGGGTCTATTCTGATGACTGAGGTAACCAAAGTACAAATTGGTAAGCTAAATATTTAATTGTTCAGCTACTACTTGTGAATTACACACAGTTGCACATGCACACACACACATACAGCCATTCAAAGTATTTTATTCATTTTACAAATACGGGTAACTTGTATTTTTTTCTGCCATAGATGAAGGATCATCTACTATCCTTCTTTACTGTGCCTTAATATTTTAGTTTGACAACCTTATATAAGATGGTTCTAATCTTTTTTTTTTTTTTTTTTTTTTTTTTTTTTTGAGACGGAGTCTCGCTCTGTCGCCCAGGTGGGACTGCGGACTGCAGTGGCGCAATCTCGGCTCACTGCAAGCTCCGCTTCCCGGGTTCACGCCATTCTCCTGCCTCAGCCTCCCGAGTAGCTGGGACTACAGGCACCCGCCACCGTGCCCGGCTAATTTTTTTTGTATTTTTAGTAGAGACGGGGTTTCACCTTGTTAGCCAGGATGGTCTCGATCTCCTGACCTCATGATCCACCCGCCTCGGCCTCCCAAAGTGCTGGGATTACAGGCGTGAGCCACCGCGCCCGGCCTGGTTCTAATCTTTATTGAAAATTTTTATCCCTAAATTGTGTGTGTATATATATATACACACACAGACACACACATACACATTGATATATATACACCACACACACACAGATGCATGCACATACACACACACACACACACACACATCTACACATACACAAACCTATATATGCATTTAAAATGTTTACAATGTTCTCCAGCCAGGCACGGTGGCTCACGCCTGTAATCCTAGCATTTTGGGAGGCTAAGGTGGGAGGATTGCTTTGGCCCAGAAGTTTGAGACCAGCCTGGTTAACATAGTGAGACCTCTATCTGTCTAAAAAAAGAAAAAATGTAGCTAGATGTGGTGGCACATGCCTGTAGTTTTTGGCTACTAGGGAGGCTGAGGTGGGAGGATCATTTAAGGCAGGGAGGTCAAGGCTGCAGTGAGCTGTGACTGTGAAACTGGACTCCAAACTGGGCAACAGAGTGAGACCCTGTCCTAATGTCAGTCCTGAAGACCACGGGGAAAATATCTCCAGGCCATGTCAGAGACTTTCATAGCAGCCCCTCCCATCACAGGCCCAGAGGCCCAGAAGTAAAAAGTGGTTTCATGGGCCTGGTGCAGGGTTCCTGGTGCAGGGTTCCCATGCTGTGTGAAGCCTAGGGACTTGGTGCCCTGTGTCCCAACCTCTCTAGTCGTGGCTGAAAGGGGCCAACGTAGAGCTTGGGCTGTGGCTTCAGAGGGCGGAAGCCGCAAGCCTTGGCAGCTTCCACGTGGTGTTGAGCCTGTGGGTGCACAGATGTCAAGAATTGTGGTTTGGGAATCTCTGCCTAGAATTTAGAAGAAGATGTATGGAAACACTTGGATGCCCAGGCAAAAGTATGCTGCAGGGGCGGGGTCCTCATGGAGCACCTCTGCTAAGGCAGTGAAGAAGGGAGATGTGGGGTTGGAGCCCCCACACAGAATCCCTACTGGGGCACTGCCTAGTGGAGCTGTGAGAAGAGGGCCACTGTCCTCCAGACTCCAGAAAGGTAGATCCACTGACTGCTTGCACCCTGCACCTGGAAAAGCCGCAGACACTCAATGCCAGTCCGTGAAAGCAGCCACAAGGGAGGCTGTACCTTGCAAAGCCACAGGGGCAGAGCTGCCCAAGACCATGGGAACCCACCTCTTGCATCAGCGTGACCTGTATGTGAGACCTGGAGTCAAAGGAGGTCATTTTGGAGCTTTAAAATTTGACTGCCCCATTGGATTTCGGATTTGCATAGGCCCTGTAGCCCCCTTTTTTTAGACGATTTCTTCCATTTGGAACAGCTGTATTTACCCAATACCTGAACCCCCATTGTATCTAGGAAGTAACCAGCTTTTGATTTTATAGGCTCATAGGCAGAAGGGACTTGCCTTGGCTCAGATGAGACTTTGGACTGGTGGGCTTTTGGGTTAATGCTGAAATGAGTTAAAACTTTGGGGGACTGTTGGGAAGCCATGATTGGTTTTGAAATGTGAGGACATGCGATTTGGAGGGGCCAGGGGCGAAATGATATGGTTTGGCTGTGTCCCCAACCAAATCTCACCTTGAATTGTATCTCCCAGAATTCCCACGTGTTGTGCGAAGGACCCAGGGGGAGATCATTGAATCAACTGGGCCAGTCTTTCCCGTGCTATTCTCATGATAGTGAATACGTCTTATGAGATCTGATAGGTGTATCAGGGTTTTCCGCTTTTGCTTCTTCCTCATTTTCTTTTGCTACTGCCATGTAAGAAGTGTCTCTCACCTCCCACCATGATTCTGAGGCTTCTCCAGCCATGTGTAACTATAAGTCCAATTAAACCTCTTTTTCTTCCCAGTCTTGGGTATGTCTTTATCACCCAATACTTAACTTTCAGGTTTGCCTCCTCCTATACTAAAATCCTGTATGGCCAGCTATCCTGATGTCATTAGTAGTAGACTTTCATAGGTTTACATAATTTAGCTCTGAATTTTTCTTTATTCTTCTTCAAATTGATGCAGAGGGATGAAGGAATAACGTTCACAACCATTAGAAATTTATGCATTGTTAATTTTCTCATGTATGATGGCAAACTGATTTAATCATCTGACCTTTGAACTGGATCTACAAAATTGCTTGTTGCATATACAAAATCTAAATGATATGGTGTCAGTAAATTATGTATAAATGTCCTGGGGGAGCTGCCAGTGTGACCATCCTCCTCAACAGTTATTCTTCTAAGTATACTGTTGATCCATCTATTTGGATTGCTTTGTCTATTAAAACCATTACAAAATTACCATAGTGTCAGTTTGGTTAATAGGCTTGTCTTTCAAATGAACATAACCTGTAGACAGTGAGATGATTGTGCAAATAAACAAGCTGCTTGTATTTAACTCAAGTATGTATACAATGGCTCTAATTTTGTATTCATTAAGTGTAAACAAAGGGACTCAGAAAAATGCGAGGACAGTCCCACCACAGATTAAAAAGGGTTGGGACTTTCAGAGACGTATTGCTGCAGTCATTTGGTGAATATTTATGAGCCCAAATATCTACAGCTTTTATTTATTTTCTTTTTTATGATTTATTTTGCTTTGTATGGTCTGTGAGTAGAAAACTATAAGGCTTCATGGAAATCACCTGATAGTTCATGTAAAGGCAACATTTTCCAGAGACTTAAGAAAGTAATAGGAAAGGCTCTGGTATTGAATAAAATTACTTTGCTTTATAAATGGTGCATGTAGAAGACAGCTAAGTTATATTATTTAGAAAAGATATAGCTGTGGCAAGAAAAATGTATGCATTTTATTAGGAAACAGCAGATTTAAATTTATTTTTAATATTGTCAGTTATAACAGTACCAAAACTCTTAGGGTTAATCAGTGCCAGATATCTTCAGGCACTCAAAATTTGCAAATAATTAAACAAATGGATGGATCTTATTCAATTAAACTATTAATATAAGAATACACTAATTTCCTTGAAAAATAGAAACATGAAAGGTTTAATTTTGTATAGTTCCAAAATTTGTCCACCCCATTGGGCTTTTCCACACTTCATGATGACTTAGTAATGTTTTTCATCTGTTCTATGATCTCTCCAAAGATGTTTCAGTTCCACTTTCTTAGAAACTATTTTTCAAATATAAGTGTCAAGCTGTTCCAAAGTTTATTTTTTCTTATTGTATAATATATCCATTTAGAGAATGCAAAAGCATTAAATTGTTGCACTGCCTCTGGCCTATTGTCTTGCAAATGTGCTTTGCACATAAGAGACAACCTCTGAATATTTTTCTTTCATCAAAATCATAAAACCTAGGAGACATTCTATAGAACTGCCATGAGTAATATTTTTTCATAAACATCATATATATATAGGATATGTTAGCATACTCCTCTTTTCTTCCTGCCTACGAGAAAGAATGGGCCAATAAAAACTGAACTATTATTTTGAAATTTAATTTTGACAACTGAGAATCCCTAAAGACATTCCAGTCAGGTACAACAATCTTTCCTTTCTCCCTGGGAGTCTATTACACTGGAAACTTGTGCTGTTGCATACAACTGCTTGCTTTTGGGGGGTGGGGGTGAGAGGGAGCATACAGTCCTCCTGTATGTGCAACTTGTGCAATAGCTAAGAGTCAAAATGCCTCCCATGAGGGGCAATATGGAATACTGGTTTTTGTTCTACTAATTAAATCCTTTATATTCTATAAGCACATCTTTCCGTTTTCTGCAAAACATCATTAAGCATTTGGGGGTTGACTTTTGGACTTTTGGGATATCTCTGAGCAAGTCAGTATTGCAGAATTACCCTGATATTTCTTTGTTTGATGCCTAAATACATTCTTAAAATTGTAAAAGACCTGTTTAGTGTATCTATAAATGCTACATAGAATTTGAAGTTTGGATAATTTGGAAGTTAAACTACAACTTGAGTAATAAATACTCAAACATGGCCTAGTGCAGTGGCTTACACCTATAATCCCAGCACTTTGGGAGGCTGAGGTGGGCAGATCACCTGAGGTCAGGAGTTCGAGACCAGCCTGGCCAGCAAGGCGAAACCCCATCTCTAATAAAAATGCAAACATTAGCCAGGTGTGGTTGTCCATGCCTGTGATCCCAGCTACTCTGGAGGCTGAGGCAGGAGAATGGCTTGAACCCAGGAGGTGGAGGTTGCAGTGAGCCGAGATCGCACCACTGCACTCAAGCCTGGGCAACAGACTGAGACTCCATCTCAAAATAAATAAATAAATACTCAGAGACTGAAGCTAATAGATGTAACAGAATTTGATATGAGGTTACATTTTTATTTATCTTAAATGGGAATGAAATAAATAGCTCAGTAGAAACATTATTATTATTATTATTAGTTTACTTTCAGAAAGAGGGAATTGAAATATGGAAAGTTTAATTCTTCAAACCGTTAGCAGAAACAAAATCAAGAATGGAACTGTCCAACTATGTAAAATGTAATTATTTGTCTTTTTAAATGAAGATACAACCTGACAAATTTATTTCTCTTATTTGATCACAATCTCTAATTGCAACATTTTCTCGGTATATGCCCATTGTGTGATTTTGTCTTATGTCTTCAGATTTTTTAAAAAAACTTTTACACATTTTATTCCCAGGGATCTTCTTTTCAGTGATCATTCTAATGTATGTTTGAAAGGAAAACGTCTTCACTGATTTGAGCCAGCAAAAGTTGGCAGTACAGTGACAAATAAACAAGGGTTAGAGATAAGCAAAAGGAGAGACTTTTATGTAAATCTTACTATTTTTAATCAATTGGCAAGATGTTCTCAGGTCTTTCTAATATCCAGCAGAGAACTCGATTGAAGTTTAACTTCTTTTGACAATAAATCAGTGATTAATCTGCTACACACCTATGTATTAAGAGGGGAATTACCAAGATTGCCAAAGGCAGGTAGACAACTTTGAAGCAGAACATTGGAAAACTGTCTGACCTGTGACCTTTTCTCTCCTACCATGTAGTCACACTCCTCGTTTACTGAACTTCTTTCTTTCTTTTCCTTTCTTTTCTTCCTTCCTTCCTTCCTTCCTTTCTTTCTTTCTTTCTTTCTTTTTCTTTTCTCTCTTTCTTTCTTTTTCTTTCTCTTTCCTTTTCTTTCTTTTCTTTCTCTTTCTCCTTTCTTCCTTCCTTCATTCCTTTCCTTCTTTCCCTTCCTTCCTTCCTTCCTTCCCTTCCTTCCTTCCTTCCTTCCTTCCTTCCTTCCTTCCTTCCTTCCTTCCTTCCCTCCCTCCCTCCCTCCCTCCTTTCTTTCTTTCTTTCTTTTTCTTTTCTCTCTTTCTTTCTTTTTCTTTCTCTTTCCTTTTCTTTCTTTTCTTTCTCTTTCTCCTTTCTTCCTTCCTTCATTCCTTTCCTTCTTTCCCTTCCTTCCTTCCTTCCTTCCTTCCTTCCTTCCCTCCCTCCCTCCCTCCCTCCCTCCCTCCCTCCCTCCCTCCTTTCTTTCTTTCTTTCTTTCTTTCTTTCTTTCTTTCTTTCTTTCTCCCTTTCCCTGTCTCTTTCCCTTCCTTTTTTTTTTTTTTTGAGACAGAGTCTTGCTCAGGCTGGAGTGCAGTGGCACAATCTGGGCTCACTGCAACCTCTGCGTCCCAGGTTCAAGCGATTTTCCTGCCTCAGCCTCCGAGTAGCTGGGATTACAGGCATGCGCCACCACACCCAGCTAATTTTTATATTTTTAGTAGAGACGGAGTTTCACCATGTTGGCCAGGCTGGTCTCCAACTCTTGAACTCAAGTGATCCACTGCGTGGGTCTCCCAAAGTGCTGGGATTATAGGCCTGAGCCACTGCGTCGGCCTGAATTTCTTTCTAATATAAAGGAATAGCACCTATGATAGAACACATTAGAACTGCCTACTTAGCACAGATAGTGTAGCATAGGCACATCTAGGCTTACATAAAATAAATTATTATTTTGTTTAAAATACTTGCTCCTCAGCCACTTAACTGTTTTTTTCTTTATAAGATCATCTGCAAGCATAATTTCAGGAACTGGCCTTGGAAACATTGACATACATGTGTACTTATATGTTTATATATATATATATGTGTGTATATATACACACACACACACACACACACACACACACACATAAATGTTTTTTGGAGTGAAAATCTGGATCTTAGAAAGTTAATGCTATATCTGGCTTTGTGTGTATTGCATACTCCCTTTGTTTAGATAATTAATGCTAAAGAATTTGAAGAATCATTTCCAATAATTTCCACTGCAATACATTGAGCTGGGAGTCAGAGGTACAGCCATAGATGATTTCCCTCACATTATATTTTGTACAATTAGTAGTTTTGATGTTGCTGAAAACATTATCGAATGTATAAAATATACTTCAACTTTGCCATCTTCATCTATCAGAAACAAGTGTATCTGTATCGTAAAACATCAACCCTATAACTGTGGGTCTGAAAGTTGCCTGACAAAGCAGATGTGTACTTTTCCCAATTCCAGTTGTGGATAACTGAGCTCAGTAATTATAATTATGAAGGCTAGGCCTGGCATAGCAACTGAATCAGATTTAGAGTGCTAATGTCTATTTTTTGTTCCAATGTAGAGAATAAATGTGCATATTTAGATTGACTTACTGTGTCTATATCAGAGAAAGATTAGCATTATAAGAACTATATACTTTTCATAAAATTCAGACAATCCATTTGTGACAAGAATATAGGCTGGAATGAGAGATCTCTCTCTTTCTCTCACTCTCTCTCTATGTGTGTGTGTGTGTGTGTGTATATATATGTGTGTATATATATATATGTGTATATATATATATATGTATATATATGGCATAATCACAAACCAAATTCCAAGGCATAATCATAAACACAATTTCAGGAATTTTTAATAAGATTTGTCTATTGAAGTGTAATTGAAGCACAATAAACTGTACTTATTTTAAAATTCAAAATGTACAATTTGCTCAGTTTTGACATACGTGAAAACATTGCCATAGTCATGAGAATTAACATAGTTGTCATAACTAAAAGTTTCCTCATACCCTTTTGCAATACTTTCCTTCTTGCCTTCACCCTGACCCAAACAACCACTAATATGTGTACTGTAAGTATATATTAGTTTGCTTTTTCAAGAAGTTTATATCAATGGAATCACACAATATGTGATTTTTTGGTATGTGGCTTCTTTTACTTACTGTGAGGTTTTCAAGGTTTATCCATGTGGATAAAGTAGCCTGTACTTTATTCCTTTTTATTGCTAAATAATATTCAACTTTATGGATACAACACAGTTCATTTATTCGTTCATCCATTGATAAGCATTTTTGTTGTTTCCTTTTTGTCTATTATGGATAATTGATGCTATAAACATTTGTGTGAAAGTTTTTGTGTGGATGTGTCTTTTCTTTTCTCTTGGAAAAATATGTAAGAGTGGAGTAGCTGGATCATATGGTTGGTGTACATGTAGCTATTTGAGAAAGTGCCAAAGTGTTTTTCTTAGTGGTTATGAAATTTTGCATTTCTCACCATCAGTGTGTGTGAGTGCCAGTTCCTTCACATCCTTGCCAACATTTGGTATGGTTGTCTTTTTAGTTGTAGCCATTCTAAATGAGTTTGTAAAAGTATGACATTATTGCTTAAATTTACATTTTCTTAATGACTGCAGATGTCAAGCATCTCATGGTTATTTTTCATCCATTTTTTTTTTTTGGTAAAATGTCTGTTTACTTTTTTCCCATTTCCTCATTGAGTTATTTGTCTTGCTATTAAGTCAAACAAGTTATTGATATATTCTGGATACATTTATGTTCATTCTTAATGAACACTTTTGATTCCTGTAGCTTTATAATAGGTCTCAGGTTTAAAGAGTTTATGAATTCCATGGATTTTCATAGGTCCTTTGCATTTCAATAAAAATTTTAAGATTGGATTTTCAGTTTCTATAAAACACCATCTTCCTGATAGTGAGCCTTCCAATCCATGAACATAGTATATATATTCCCATGTATTTAGTTATTACTTAATTTCCCTTGGCAATATTTTATAGTTTTTCATGTAGAAATCTTAAACAACTTTATTAGATTTATTCCAAAAGGATTTTATGTTGTTTGGCATTAATATGAATGGTTTTGTTAAATTTCACGTTCCAATTATTTGGTGCTAATATGAAAGAATACAACCTTATATCACCTAATCTCACTAAATTTATTTATTAATTATTGTAATTGTTTTGTGGTTCCCCTGTGATGTTTCATATAAACCGTTATACTTCTGTTTTGTTTGTTTGCTTGTATTTTGCTTTATTCATATTGCTATCCCTTTTAGGGAAATGTTAAACAAAGTGACAAGAACCAGTATCCATGCTTTCTTCCTAGTATCAAGGGGAAAGCATTTAGTCTTTCAAGTATGAATTTAGCTCTAAATTTTTTTTATATTCTTTTTCAGTTTGAGGAATTTACCCGTCATTTCTAGTTTGCTTAGAATTTTTATTTTTATTTTATTTATCTATTTATTTATTTATTTTTGAGATGGAGTCTCGCCCTGTCACCCAGGCTGGAGTGCAGTGGCGCCATCTCGGCTCACTGCAAGCTCCGCCTCCCAGGTTCAAGCCATTCTCCTGCCTCAGCCTTCCGAGTAGCTGGGACTACAGGGGCCCGCCACCGTGCCTGGCTAATTTTTTGTATTTTCAGTAGAGACGGGGTTTCACCGTGTTACCCAGGATGGTCTCGATCTCCTGACCTCGTGATCCACCTGCCTCAGCCTCCCAAAGTGCTGGGATTACAGGCTTGAGCCACCACGCCCGGCCTAGAATTTTTAAAAATACGAATAGATGAATTTTGTCAAACGTATTTTCTACATTTTTGAAATGTTTTTTCTCTATTTTGTTAATTGGCATATTATATTTATTTTCGAATATAATTTGTTTTTGAAATTAAAATTATAATCTATCTTAATTCTACGGTTCTTTTTCAGAGATAAACAAAAAACTTCACATTAGTATTTATTATTATCGTTACATATATTTTATTTCATCATGTTTGTAGATATGACTAAATATATTTTTTCATCATTATGAACAAAGTTTAGTTCATTTACATATTAAATCACAATTATTTTATTAATTCATTTAATTTCTATGTAACTATTTCTCTGTAAACCTAAGTTTAAATATGGCTGAAACTACATAATTTTAAACATTGTAGATCTAAAATTTTAGGAGGCAAATGTCAAAACAATTAAGGATAAGATACTATAGTAACTAGAGGAAGAAATAAGAAAACCATATAAGTAAGGAAAACAATATATTTGTGTAGATGTACTCTAAAACCACACCTATGTTTGGCACTTATATCTTTTGACTTCAGTATTCCAATTTTTGAATGGGCCTTCTGCCATACTAACAGATGTGTCGATTGTGTAGACCTGCCAAGGAAACAGAATATACATAAAAACAGTAAAAAAAGAAATTGTGCTGGCAATTAAGAAGACTTCATTGTGCGCAAGTGCCTTGCCAAACATCAATGTATGCATATTTATATTTGAGTAGTTCCATCCAACACTGAAGTCAGAAAACAAAATCATTTTATGCCAGTAACTGAATGAAATATTACTTTGTTTTGGTTTATTTTTAGTATTAGTCAGATAGTCCAGTCAATATAATTTTATGTACTTTTCAATTATAATGCAAAGTAGTAGACTCTTTCCCCAAATTAAAAAAAAATATTAAATCAAATGTATATTTTCTTGTATAGCTTCAGTTATCCTTCATGAACACTTCTTGATTACTTGGAGCACTAAACTTGTTCATATGGTGAAAGGAAGGTCATTAAGACAATGTACTTTAGAATTGCACTTTAAACTTTTGTTTCAAGAGTCTTTGCTTATTTAAAATAAATGAATATTTTTATGTTTATGCATATATGCATTCACAAAATACTGATAGAATAATCCTGTGAAGCTCACTTCAGAATGACAAAGTTTTCTTCATTAGCAAAAAACTAAAGTATTAAACATTTAAAATTGTAATTTAAAAATTTAAAAAAATATTTTCTATATTTTTATTTTATGTATGTATGTATGTATGTATTTATTTATTTGTTTATTTATTTTTTGAGACGGAGTCTAGCTCTGTTGCCCAGGTTGGAGTGCAGTGGCGTGATCTCGGCTCAGTGCAACCTCCGCCTCCCAGGTTCAAGTGCTTCTCCTGCCTCAGTCTCCCAAGTAGCTGGTATTACAGGCACCTGGCTAATTTTTGTATTTTTAGTAGAGATGGAGTTTTGCCATGTTGGCCAGGCTGGTCTTGAACTCCCGACCTCAGGTGATCCGCCCACCTTGGCCTCCCAAAGTGCTGAGATTACAGGCGTGAGCCACCGCACCTGGCCTCTTTCGATACTAACTGCTGATAAGACTTAGTTAAATTTTTTTTGAAAACAGGTTTCCCAAGGGGGTATACTTAGCACATTAAAACATGTATCACAAAATCTGACAATCGACCTACAGGAGGATGCATCTGTATAGTTCCTTTGTCTGAAATTTTAACTTTAATTTTTATGAAACAAATCTAACTGGAATAAAATGCCAATCCTATTACAGATTGCAATGCCATCTTATATTACATATAAATAAATAAATACACACACACACACACACACACACACACACACAGAGAAGACAATCCTATAAAACAGAGCCGCACTGAGTTTTGTATTTAGCCTAGAAATAATAATTAATTGCTTGTCAGTGATTTATAGTGGTTTACTTTTTATCAAACTGACAAACTAAATAATGTAATAGTAAGTTTAAGCACAGTTAGGTGTTTATTGAAATGTGAAGTGGTTTCAGATATTTCTCCTGTAGGTGATTATTTTACTTAGAGAATGGAGGCATTTTTTATGTTGCCTGTATGTTTACTAATCTTTCAAAATTGTATATCATTTTTATTATCTAAAGGATTTCTCTCATTCACTACACTGGTAGGTGAAGAAGAAGCAGGCATTCATTGAGATGGTGAGCATGGCAGGAGCAACAAGAATTCTATCATCAAGGAAATTTAAAGTTTTGGTAAAGACTATATATTTTAATGCCAATGCTAATTCTAAGGAAACAACAGATGTAGCAGCAGTTACGATAAAAACCAAGTGCTCTTGTCTGTTAAGCTGTTTTATTGCAAGTTTCTGTAATATTTTTGATGAAAACAAATAACAAAGGAGGATAAAAGCACCATTAGCAACAAGCAACAACAAAAAGATAGTTATTACTGGTAGAAGAACGCCAAAAGTTAATGCCTGTGGAAATTTTTTTAAATATGAGCCATAAATGAGCAGGCTAAATACAAATATAGCACAAAAATAGGTTGAGACAACTTTGTAAGAGCTGAACTGTAAATTGAATTCAATTTTGATGAATGAACTCTGCTGTGATGAGGTGTGTATATGTAAGTGGAAATCAGTCTACCTATCTATTGATTGGAAAGGAGGGCATTTGACCATCAGTTTTTTCAGATTTCATTCCATTATTAATCAAGTTTATTATTTAATGACATTATATAATGTAAGTGATTTAAGATACTTCAGGATAAGATATTTAAGGCATTTCAATATGGAATCTCTTCTATGCCATTAAGAAAAAATCACTTTGGTACATGACACATGAGTTAAATTCCCAGTAGTTACTCTTTGTCTTAGTCTAATTTTGTCAGTTTTTCTGGGACAATCTGGTTTATGCACATTATTATTGATACGGAAGTGGGGCAGGGAAACTCTGCGTAGAGAAAAGCATGTCCCTGGCTAGGGCTCCACCCCAAAGGACCTAGGTGAGGACAGGCACTCCTGCTTTCCCGCCCAAATGTTGCATTTTCCAAGACCACCCTGGCCCACCATGCCTCCATCCTGGGCCTATAAAAACCCGAGACCCTAGCGGGCAGACACACAAGCGGCTGGACAGCGTGAGGAACACATCGGCGGGAGAAGACACAAGCGGCTGGTCATCCAGAGCAGATGGCAAAATAGCTCGCCCGGCAGGCCATTGACTAGTGGAACAACACAGAGTCTGGCCAGAGCCGTCGGAGAAAAGTCCGGTCACCGAGCGGCCCGATTCCGGGGGAAAACTATCTCCCTTCTGGCTCCCCCATCTGCCCAGACCTACTCCTACTCAATAAAATCTTGCACTCATTCTCCAAGCCCACGTGTGATCCGATTCTTCCCGTACACCAAGGCAGGAAACCCCGGGATACAGAAATCCCTCTGTCCTTATGATAAGGAAGGGGGTCTGAGTTGGTTAACACAAGCCACCTATAGACAGCAAAACAAAGAGCACCCTGTAACACATCCCACCGGGGCTTCAGCTGTAAATATGCACCGCTAAACACTGCCGTGGTGTCAGAGCCCCACAGCCTGCCCGTCTGTATGCTCTCCTTTGAGCATACAGTGGGGCACTGAAGAAGAGAGCCACACCCCCATCGCATGCCCTGCGAGAGGGACAGGGGAACCTTGCCTGTTTAATTATGATATGATATATTAATACTGACATTCACTCTCAAGACCGTACTGGTTGGATTATCAATCCTATAGTCTCTTTATCTATTATTTTCTCATTAAAAAATGCTGCTGGAGATGACCCAAAGATTTACCATGTGGAGAAAGCTTAACTCTAGTTTTAAATTGAGGTTAAATTATTCCATTCCTATTCCAAATTAACATTTTACTATCAAACCTGGTGCTTTAACAGTTTTCTTTATCTCAGGAAATGTTAATACCATCTTTCCACTTCCTCAGGCCAAAAACCTTGGCATTGTCTTTTTTCTTTCACACACTTTGGCTCTTTTTTCAAAATATACCTGGAAACCTCTCGCTCCTTATCACCTCTACCACTACCACTCTGGTCCAAGCCTCCATTGACTGTCACCTCAGTTACTTCAATAGCATTTTTTTTTTTTTTTTTTTCTTTCCTGAGACAGAGTCTCGCTCTGTCACCCAGGCTGGAGTGCAGTGGCGCAATCTCGGCTCACTGCAAGCTCCGCCGCCCGGGTTCAAGCCATTCTCCTGCCTCAGCCTCCGGAGTAGCTGGGACTACAGGCGCCCGCCACCGCGCCCGGCTAATTTTTTTTTGTATTTTTAGTAGAGACGGGGTTTCACCATATTTGCCAGGATGGTCTCGATCTCCTGACCTCGTGATCCGCTTGCCTCGGCTTCCCAAAGCCCTGGGATTACAGGCGTGAGCCACCGAGCCCGGCAGTTACTTCAGTAGCTTCTTAACTGCTCTCTCTGCTTCCCCTCCTGTCCCCTCCATGTCAAGTCTCAACAAAGCAGCCAGAGAGACTCAGATATAACTGAGATCATGGTATTTCTCCGTTCAGAACACACTATGGTTTGTCAATTTACACAGTAAAGAGCAAAGACTTCAAGATCGTTGAGGGCCTCCCCTGTGACATTTTTTATGACAAAATAATAAATAAAGAGACCATAGGATTGATTATCCAACAAGTACACTCTTAAGAGGGCACAACCTGCACCCCCTCCAGTTACCTCTCAGACTTCATCTCCTATCCGCCCCGCCATTCCTTGTTCACATAGTCCCCTTGTTGTCTCTTGAAGCTGCTGGGTGTGCTCTTTCCTTAGGATCTTTGCACTGACTGATTCTATTGCATAAATATCACATGATATTTATACGATGCAAGTTCTTACCCCTTCAAATCTTTGCTTAAATGTCACCTTTTCAGTGAGGTCTTCCCTGACCATCCTGTTAAAAATTGCAACTATCCTCCCACACACATCAAACGCACTCCATATAATCTTTCCCTGATCTTTTTCAGAGCACTAGTACCATCTAACATACCATAGTATTTAATAATTTCTAACGTATGCATTTCATCCTTTCTCCCTAACTAAAATCACTGTGAATGCAGACATTTCTGTATTGCCAGCACCTAGTAGAATGTATGGCCTAGAATAGGCACTCAATAAATGAATGAAGGAATGTAACTTATACCCCGTTCTTAACAATTCTAGCATATTAGAGTTGTTAATCCATTCCAGTAGGAATTTCCATTCCTTGCATAGTTTAATTTGATATACTACCATTTATATACTCATTATGTGTTTGTATGTATGTGGAATTGGATGGTTAAAATCACATACAAAGAATCACTTCACACGTGTGAAGTAAACATGCTAACATGCTTTCTGCATAAGAAGTCAAAAGACAGCAGTGGTACTTATATTTAATTTCAACTTGGATAGGCTTAAAATGACCTTCATAAGAGAGATTTGAATACACTTTAACTAAGGCAGGAGGTTTATGTAGCAAATCCATTACCACTTCCAAAAATCTGTCACTGGAATACAAAATCCAATGGTTGCGGTCTGTTCTATGCCAAAACATAGGTTTAATTATTCAGAAGACCGTTAGAGCACATTTTCTAAACCTAAAACTCGGCAAAGAAATTCTACCTAATGTCCCTTAGCTTTGGGAGCTATACACTAAGGCACCTTCCTGGTGTGCAGGATTGTGGCTTTTATGAACGTCTGAATTAAAACAGTTACCTATTAGAGAGCTAAAGTCCCCTGTTCTGCCTCACCTTAAATTTATCAAATTGTTTATCTTCTACTATTCCTCTGGTGATCATGGTAAATAATGATTTAATTGCACTGTTAACAACCTACAAATAGTGTATAATTTTTTTATTCCTACTGAGTATTAATGTAATTTGCCTTTCATTATTAGGAAAGGGTTAAAGTGAAGGATATAGATCCATTTAATGGCAAAAGGATAGAAGGATTAGTCAATAAACCAAATAAAAATGACAGAGTGTAAAAGAAAGTTGTTTCAATACATGGTGAGTCACTATAAGAAAATGATTTTAAAGCACGTCAGGGATATATTTAAAATGAGGTGGTTCTGGCAATACGTTAGTTTTTGTTAAAATGACATTTACATTAAAATGAATAAATAATTGTTATAGACTCAAATACACTTCATTTGCTCTCGGTCACATTATCAGTATCCACTTAGAAGCTCAGTTTGAATTTAAACACATTTTATTCTTACAAGGTTTGTGCTTTCATCATCAAGATTTTCTTTTAGAATTTTTTGTGTTAATTTTTATAATATCAATAAACAAATAATATCAATTATAGTATTTAATCATGTTCTTATGACATGGAAAAAATCAATTATATGTTGAAAATCAGTTTATGAAAGTCTTTCTGCTCTGGACTATAAAATATATGAAAGTCTTTCTGCTCTGGACTATAAAATATCAAGAAGGCCGGTCGCGGTAGCTCATGCCTGTAATCCCAGCACTTTGGGGGGCTGAGGTGGGTGGATCACCTGAGTTCAGGAGTTCGAGACCAGCCTGACTAACATGGTGAAACCCTGTCTCTACCGAAATTACAAAAAAATCACCTGGGCGTGGTGGCAGGCGCCTGTAATCCCAGCTGCTGGGGAGGCTGAGGCAGGAGAATTGCCTGAACTGGGGAGGCAGAGGTTGCCGTAAGCTGAGATTGTGCCACTGCACTCCAGCCTGGGCAACAAGAGCAAGACTCTTTCTAGAAACAAAACAAAACAAAAATCAAGAATACTTTTAATAGTTAATAATTTTAAAATGCTAAATACTTGCACTTCATAAGAAATGTATTTATTAGATAGAGCCTGGCCAACATGGAGAAACTCCATCTCTACTAAAAATACAAAAATTAGCTGGGCGTGGTGGTGCGTGCCTGTAATCACAGCCACTCAGGAGGCTGAGGCACAAGAATTGCTTGAACCTGGGAGGCAGAGGTTACAGTAAGTTTAGATCATGCCACTGCACTCCAGCCTGGGTGACAGAGCAAGAGACTGTCTCAAAAAAAAGAAAAAAAGAAAAGGAAATTTATTTAATAGATAGTTGACTCCTTACTTTGTCTTTGTATTTATTAACTTTGATTTTAAGATTGCCGAATGGTAATGTTTTCTAGTCTTTTTTCAGAATATATATATATTTTTGAAACAGAGTCTAGCTCTGTCGCCAGGCTGGAGTTCAGTGGTGGGATCTCGGCTCACTGAAACCTCCGCCTCCTAGGTTTAAGCGATTCTCCTGCCTCAGCCTCCCGAGTAGCTGAGGTTACAGGCACGCACTGCCATTTCCAGCTAATTTTTGTATTTTTAGTAGAGACAGGGTTTCACCTTGTTGGCCAGGATGGTCTGGATCTCCTGACCTCGTGATCTGCTCACCTCGGCCTCCCAAAGTGCTGGGATTACAGGCGTGAGCCACTGGGCCCAGCCTAGAATAGATAATTTTTATATTTAGCAAACTACACTTGCTTTATTTGTCTGCATTGTTCTGCACTGACTCTAAGATTTTAAGCACAAAAATAAGTACATATTACAAAAATATCTTAATATCTCATGGATTTTGTAGCTACTGTCAAATTGGCATGCTAATAATTCTTGCTCTTCTAATATAAATATTAAAAAGTAAAGAAACTTTAGCAGGAATATAAGGTAAATATTATAGAAGAACATATGAAATAATAATGAGAAATAAAGTTTGGAAGTCCTAGTTAATGGAATCATATGTAGGTAGAATCTCTCAGTCTGCTGTATTTTCAGATGTGGATGTAGGAGGTTTGCTGTGTTCTCTCTCATGTGACCCACTGCAAAAATTCAACATGTATTGAATATAAAAAAATATTCTACATAGTGGAGAAGAATTCACATCTATGAATTCTTTGTATAGTGTAAACTCATTATATTATCATTTTAAAAATATATTATCATTTTTTAAAGATTCCATAGTCTGAGTAACGGCCAGTATAGTTTAGTATTACAAAACTCCTGAGAAAGGGTTATGATACTCAGGAGAATAAAAAACACAAGTGTCTGTATGTTTTAGAGTATAAAGGGAAATTTTCTAGAACAAATAAAAAGGTAATTGGTGGTAAACTTAACCTCATTGGGATTAAAAAAAAAAAGGCAATTTAAGAGTGTCAAAAACCAAATTACAATGAATTTAGTTTAAAGACATAATTGACTTTTATTAGTGATTCTAGAATCAGGCAACATCTCATTCTATAAAACAGAATGAGTGCTGAACAGTTGTTTTTTTAAAGTGCAAACAAGGAAACAGATTAAAATGTGGAGTGACATCAGGTTACCTCATTTTTTTTTTTTTTTTGTAAGGGTTAAAGCTGAGAGGACTTCCTTGTTTTGCTGGCTCAGGTTTACTGGGCCCTCTTCAATTGTTTGTTATGAATCTCCTGTTTTCAAAAAAAAAAGGTTTGGGGATTTACCTGCTTCCTTAATGTTTCAGTTTGATTATAAGGCACTTATCATGAGTGACTCCATTTTGGTTTGCTCTACTGGGGCCTTAGTGCAGGAGCTCAGCCCAAAACAATGGCCGTTCATACATTTTATTTAACAGGGAATGGTTTTATTTATTTATTTTTTTGTTTGTTTGTTTATTTTGGTCTGTAGCTGGCTGGCTCTACTGGCCAGCTTTTTTTTTTTTTTTTTTTTTTTAATTTCCATAGGTTATTAGAAATAACCAGGTGGTATTTAGTTACATGAGTAAGTTCTTTTGTGGGGATTTGTTAGATTTTTGTGCACGAATCTCCCAAGCAGCATACATTGAACCCAATTTGTAGCCTTTTATTTCTCCCTCCCTTCCCACCCTTTCCCCCTGAGTCCCAAAGTCCGCTGCATTATTCTTATGCCTCTGCATTCTCACAGCTTAGCTCCCGCTTATGAGTGAGAACATAGGATATTTGATTTTCCATTCCTGAGTTACTTCACTTAGAATCATAGTCTCCGATCCTATCCAGGTTGCTGCAAATGCCATTAATTCATTCCTTTTTATGGCTGAGTAGTATCCCATCAAATATATACCACAGATTCTTTATCCACTCGTTGAGTGATGGGCATTTGGGCTGGTTCCATATTTTTGCAATTGTAAATTTTGCTGCTATAAACATGCATGTGCAGGTATTTTCACCAGCAGTATAGAAGTGTTCCCTTTTCACTGCATCCATGACAACATGTATTATTTTTTGATTTTTTAATTATGGCCATTCTTGTGGGAGTAAGGTCGTATCGCATTGTGGTTTTTATTTGGAATCCCTGATCATTAGTGCTGTTGATCAGTTTCTTATATGTTTCTTGGCCACTTGTATATCTTCTGTTGAGACATGTCTATTCATGTCCTTAGCCCACTTTTTGCTGGGATTTCTTTTTTTATTTCTTGTTAATTTGAGTTCCTTGTAGATTCTGGATATTAGTCCTTTGTTGTATGTATAGATTGTGAAGATTTTCTCCCACTCTGTAAGATTTGTTCTTTAAAGAGGTTATGTTTTAATGTGTTTCCAGGATGTGTTTCAAACTTGATAGCTCCTTTTAGCAGTTCCTGTAGTGCTGGCTTGGTAGTGGCAAATTCTCTCAGCATTTGTTTGTCTGAAAAAGACTGTATCTTTTCTTCATTTATAAAGCTTAGTTTTGCTGGATACAATACTTTTGGCTGATAATTATTTTGTTTAAAGAAGTTAAAGATAGGGCCCCAGTCCCTTCTAGCTTGGAGGGTTTCTGCTGATAAATCGGCTGTTAATCTGATATGTTTTCTTTTTTAGGTTACCTGGTGTTTTTTCCTCACAGCTCTTAAGATTCTTTCCTTCATCTTGACTTTTGATAACATGATGACAATGTGCCTAGACATGATCTTTTTGCAATGAATTTCCCAGGTGTTCTTTGAGCTTTTTGTATTTGAATGTCTAGGTCTCTAGCAAGGCCGGGGAAGTTTTCCTCAATTAGTCCCCCAAATATGTTTTCCAGACTTTTAGATTTCTCTTCTTCCTCAGGAATGCCAATTATCTTAGGTTTGGTCATTTATCATAATCCTAAACTTCTTGGAGGCTTTGTTCATTTTTTAAAATTCTTTTCTCTTTGTCTTTGTTGGATTGAGTTAATTAGAAAACCTTGTCTTTGAGCTCTGAAGTTCTTTCTTCTGCTTGTCTGATTCTATTGCTGAGACTTTCCAGTACATTTTGCATTTCTCTGAATGTGCCCTTTATTTCCTAAAGTTGTCATTGTTTTTTATTTATGCTATCTATTTCACTGAAGGTTTGTCCCCTGATATCTTGTATCATTTATTTGACTTCATTAAGTTGGACTTCACCTTTCTCTGGTGCCTCCTTGATTAGCTTAGTAATCAACTTTCTGAATTCTTTTTCAGGTATATCAGAGATTTATTCTTGGTTTGTATTTATTGCTGGTGAGCAAGTGTGATTTTTGGGGGAGTGTTAAAAAACCTTGTTTTGTCATATTATGAGAATTATTTTTCTGGTTCCTTCTCATTTGGGTGGGTTATATCGGAGGGAAGATCTGGGGCTCAAGGTTGCTGTTTAGATTTTTTTTTTTTTTTGAAATGGAGTCCTACTTTGTCACCCATGCTGGAGTGCAGTGGTGCGATCTCGGCTTACTGCAACCTCTGCCTCCTGGGTTCAAGCAATTCTCCTGTCTCAGCTTCCTGAGTAGCTGGGATTACAGGTGTGCAACACCATGTCTGGCTAATTTTTGTATTTTTAGTAGAGATGAGGTTTCACCATATTGGCTAGGCTGGTCTTGAACTCCTGACCTCAGATGGTCTGCCTTCCTTGGCCTCTCAAACTGCTGGGATTACAGGCGTGAGCCACCGCTCCTGGACATTGCTGTTTAGATTCTTTTGTCCCATGGGGTGTTCCCTTGATGTAGTACTCTTCCCTTTTTCCTAAGGATGTGGCTTCCTGAGAGTGGAACTCTAATAATTGTTATTTATCTTCTGGATCTAGCCATGCAGAAGGGCTAACAGGCTTTGGGTTGGTACTGGGGATTGTCTGCACAAAGTCCTGTGATGTGAAGTGTCTTCGGTATCCTCAGCTGTGGATACCATCACCTGCTCTGGTGGAGGTGGCAGGGGAATGAAATGGACTCTGTGAGGGTCCTTAGTTTTGATTGTTTAATGCACTATTTTTGTGCTGGTTGGCCACCTGCCAGGAGGTGGTGCTTTCAAGAGAGCATCAGCTGTGGTAGTATAGGGAGGAACAGGTGGTGCGCAGGGCCCTAGAACTCCCAAGAGGATATCCCCTTTGTCTTCAGCTACCAAGGTGGGTAGGGAAGGACCATCAGGTGGGGGCAGGGTTAGGTGTGTCTGAGCTCAGATTCTCTTTGGGCAGGGCATGCTGTGGCTGCTGTGGTGGATGGGGGTGTGGTTTCCAGGTCAATGGAGTTATGTTCCCAGGAGGATTATGGCAGTCTCTGCTGTGTCATGCAGTTTGTCAGGGAAGTAGGGGAAAGCCGGCAGTTACAGACCTCACCTAGCTCTCATGCAACCCAAAAGGCCTGTCTCACTCCCACCGTGCCCCCCACCAAAACAGTGCTGAGTTTGTTTCCAGGCAGTGGGGAAGCAGGGCTGAGAGCTTGCCCCAGGCTACCAGCCTCCCCACAGAGAAAGCAAGCAGGGCTTTTGCACCTCCCCACCTGTCGATTCTGCATACCAGATTCACACCCTACCCTGAGTTCTGGCCAGGAGACTTCGCATTTGGTTGGAATTGTTACAAAGTTCAGCTGGAGGTTTCCTTCTCCCTGTGGTCTTTTCCCAGTTCCTCTGGCAGCCCTCCCCAAGGACCCCTGTGAGACAAGTCAGAAATAGCTACCCTGGGGACCCAGAGAGCCCACAGGGCTTTTTCCGCTGCTTCCTCTACCCCTGTATTTCACTTGGCTATCTAAATTGACTCAGTTCTAGATGAGGTCAAATGCCTCTCCCGTGATTTAGACCCTCAGGTTCCCCAGTGAGGGCGTGTGTTTGGGGGCAGACAATCCCCCTTTCCCACTGTCACAGCTTGGGTACTCACAGTATTTGGGCTGTCTCCCGGCTCCTGCAGGAGCAATCCACTTCCTTCAGAGGGTCTGTGGATTCTCTTGGCTTTCTTGGTATATTTCTGTAGGAGTTCTGGAGCAAAGGTTCACGATGCAGGTCTCCACACACTGCTCTGTCTGTTTGAGCTGGAACTGCAAGCTAGTCCTGCCTCCTATCCACCATCTTCTCTCTCTGCACCAGGGACTGGTTTTCATATTTTACAACTTCAAAATAATACAAAGTTTTAGTCATTTTACAGTTAAAAAAATGAAATAATCTAAAGAGACTGTACTTTGCAAACATAAATGACTCATCTTGATGCATAGATTAAATTTTAATTACTGTATTATGTTGCCATCAAGAATTATTGTTTTTCAAATTTAACTGACATTTATAGGGAAAATACTTTTTAATTAGAATTATCATCTGGTTTCCAAGTAAGCTGCAGTGATATCTCCATCTTGCTCAAAGTTGGAAGTAACATTTATGACACGGGCTTCTTCTTACTGAAATATACCAATAATGAGCTGATTCTCTTTTGTTATTTTTTGTTGCTATTTATTTTGTTTTACTAAACAGAATGACTTTATTGTTGAGTGAGATGTTGGACAAGTACAGGTTTGCTGATATAAAGAGGGTGAAGTAGAAAATTGTTAAGGAGGAATATGCCACCGTCTAAAAAACAATCAATGTTGTGAAAGCCCTAAGATAAGTATTTCTTCTTGGATTGTCTTCTAATGAGAAGTAATTCTATTTTGTTGTATATTGTTTCACTAGAAATCATCTGAGGTCTGGCAGGAATAACATGTATTCATGAATGTTCTTGAAGGCAAGGTTTGAAGTAAAGTGTGCACATACATAGACAAGCAGTGAAAACGTGAATAAAATTCAGAACAAAGGCTATTGCTTAAAATAAATACTAACACATGTAACTGCAAAGAATCCTGGAGTTAAAGAGTGTCATTTTTTAAATGTCATTTTTTTTTTGTAATTCTGATGCAAGAATTCTATATATATTATCATGATATGGTTTGGCTGTGTCCATACCCAAATCTCATCTTGAATTGTAAGTCTTAGAATTCCCACATGTCATGGGAGGAACACGGCGGGAGGTGACTGACTTATGGGGGCAGGTCTTTCCTGCACTGTTCTTGTGATAGTGAATGAGTCTCAAGAGACCTGATGGTTTTAAAATGGGAGTTTCCCTGCACAAGCTCTGTTTTTGCCTGCCGCCATCCATGTAAGATATGACTTGCTCCTCCTTACTTTTTACCTTCTGCCATGATTATGAGGCCTCCCCAGCCATGTGGAACTGTAAGTGCAGTACACCTCTTTCTTTTGTAAATTGCCCAGTCTCAGCTATGTCTTTATCAGCAGTGTGAAAACAGACTAATACATACAGTATGCTGCTTGACAAATTATTTTCATGATGGTATTATAGGATTAAGAGTAATTGACTCATTGATTGGATACAAATAAATTAATAATTTTAAGGTATCATAAATAGAGTTTAAAAAGATCATTCTTGGCATATATTGAACACCAAGAGAGTCTTATTGCAGCCTCAATGCTAAAGCTTTATAATTTAAAGATGCTCTGATAATCAGCAGTCTCCTTGTGTATTTTGAAAAGTGAAAGTTGAGATCACAATCCAGTTTTCCATTTTATTGACAAAGAACATGGACTCACTCAAAGCAGTCTCTGCAAAACTCTTAATGTATTACCAAAGCCATCTTTCCTATGGGATTTTATTGTCTGTACAGGGTATTTGTAATCACAAAACCTATCTTTTTTTCTTTGCTCTATTACATACGTAAGTCCCCACTTAAACAGAATTAGGCAGTGCAAGTGAAAAAGATTCAATTCCAGAGGTCGTGGGCTTTGTTGTAAAATCCCATGACTGTAACCATAATTATATACAACCCTACATTACTTCTGATGTTTGATAATTATGACCAGTGATATATGTTATTGATTTTAAAGCAATTTAAAACTGGTCCATGTTCAGATTTCAGTAGCTATGTGCACTGTAATTGCTTTCATAATGTGTCTGTATGATATTTAAATGCTTAAGGATGACTCTCCAGCTAATGAAAAATCATTGTTTGCACTTTTGCATTTCTAGTACTTCCTGTTATAAATGAATCTGCCATAGGAGGGGATAGTTTTCATGAAATTCCTGAAAGCATTATGGGACTATTACTAGATACACAGGATTTGCAAAGGGAATTTGGCTAAAAAAGTGAAACTGACAAGGATATCATTTGCATTACATAAAGTTTCCATAGGTTAACTCTAGCCGAAGGGTATTTTTAGTGAGCATATTGATAGGGATTGTGAATGACATTACTTCTATTGTGTAAACTTAGGAAAAATCAGTCTTCAATAATATACATATAGTGAAATATAGTGTACAGTAATATTAATATTTAAATATAGCTGACCACTGTTTTTTATTTTTTCACACAATAATGAAATATATTTTCAATACATTAAAAGAGAAAAATATTTCTCATTAGTATCTATTCATATGATATTAAGTGTTCAGAAAATATACTCTTTACATCTGTTTGTTGATATAATTTTTTATCAATCTACTATAATCTTATTTTTATAAAATAGTATTCTACTTACAGTTTATTTCTGATGTGTAATATTTTTGAGTAAATATAGTAATAACTATGACTTTGGATGACAGAAAATAGTTCCTAATATTATTCACGCTTTATTTAAAATGTTAGTTTTCCAGAGACTTCACAATCCTATACTTTCTGTCATATTTCACATGGAGTGCTTGCTAATAATTGCCATTTATATCATCTAAGCAATATCCATATATCAAGACAGATTATGTAAGCAGAAGTTTTAAAATATAACATATTTTAGCAAACACAGAATTTCCTGTAACATGTCTGTCATAAGGAATTCATCTGGGCCAGATGTGATGGCTCACACCTGTCATCTCAAAAGTTTAGGAGGCCAAGGCAGGAGAATCGCTTGAGCCCAGTAGTTGGAGACCAGCCCAGTCAACCGAGGAAGACATTGTTTCTACAAAAATTTTAAAAATTAGCTGGGCATAGTGGCATGTGCTTATAGACCTGGCTACCCAGGAGGCTGAGGCAGGAGAATCATTTGAGCCCAATATTTTGAGGCTGCAGTGAGCTATCATGATGCCACTCCACTCCAGCCTGGTGGACAGAGTCCCCATCACTTAAAAAAGAAAAATAAATTCATCTAGGCAAAAAGGCAATTAGTTGGCTGAATGACAATAGGAAATGTCACCAATAGCTGCAAACTGATGATTCCATCCTTTATCACGTTGGCAACTCTCCTTATTATGAACATTAAAATTAATACTTTCCTGTAATTTAAACCTGCACCTGCATTTCTTTTTGCTAAAACGTACTATCCTCAATTATATTCTATAATTTTACTTGCTAATTTTTGCTTCCTTTTCCTCACTGAATATGAAGTGCTATATTAATCTTTAAAGTATATTTTTAAAAGATTATCTAAAAGCTATAAAACTGGAAGTTATATTGCTGACAGCGAATCTTCTCTTAAGAACTTTAAAAATAGACATTGAGCTCACGCCTGTAATCCTAGCACTTTGGGAGGCCGAGACGGGCGGATCACGAGGTCAGGAGATCGAGACCATCTTGGCTAACACGGTGAAAACCCGTTTCCACTAAAAATACAAAAAATTAGCCGGGCGTGTTGGCGGGCGCCTGTAGTCCCAGCTACTTGGGAGGCTGAGGCAGGAGAATGGCATGAACCTGGGAGGCGGAGCTTGCAGTGAGCCGAGATCGCGCCACTGCACTCCAACCTGGGAGACACAGCGAGACTCCGTCTCAAAAAAAAAAAAAAAAAAAATAGACATTGAAAGACACTGCAGATGAACAGTTTGAGTCTAGTGCAAAAAAACAGGCAAACTAGGGGCTATCAAACCATAGAATTATTAGCGAAAATATTTACTTTTGTTTCAATTGAAAATGCCACATAATAAGATTTATTTTAGTAATTTTTTGTGTGTCTCTTCTATAGGCAAGTATCTTAATGATATTTAATTTCAGGGAATTGTGTGGCTCTTGAAAGAGTCAAAATCAAAATTTATGTGCCAGATTTTGCCTCTATCTATGTTATTTGTCTCTCTAACTAGTAATTTTCCATGTTGTTTTAGAGTGAATACAGAACAAAGTTATAGAATATAGTTAGTGATATTTCTTTACTTTTCAATGGTAGATTACTTTGGCCATCTAGTTAAACTACTGGAAAGATCTTGCTGTCTATTTTGTTATTTTGTAGCTTCTTACCACAATTGCTGGCCATGAATTTTCTTCTTTTTCTAAAACTGAGGGAATTGGCAAAATTTGGAAAATATGATGTCACTATGATTGATCAACATTATAAATGTATTTTTAGAGGAAATTATTCATTGTATAATAGAAAATGTGTAAGTACACATCCTATGAGTCCTGATTGGGATGATTGTTACTAAGAAAGAAAACAAGATAGCCTTGCTGATATGAGAAGTAGTTCAGCCTGTGGTATAAAGGTTAACTGTTTTACTTTGCCAACAAATTTAGAGTGCACAAGAATCCTTTTTCTGGAGTGCGGTGGCGTAGTGTCGGCTTACTGTAACCTCCGCCTACTAGGCTCAAGTGATCCTCTGACTTCAGCCTCCCAAGTAGCTGAGACTACAGGCATGTGCCACCACATCTGGCTAGTTTTTGTATTTTTCGTAGAGACAGGGTTTCTCCATATTGCCCAAGCTAGTCTTGAACTCCTGAGCTCAAGCAATCCACCCACGTCAGCCTCCCAAAGTGGTGGGATTACAAACATGAGCCACCACACCCAGCTGACAATAGTCCTTTAAACTATATAAATACTGGTGGGGGTGATGGCTCACACCTGTAAACCCACCACTTCGGAAGGCCAAAGAGGGAAGATTACTTGAGCCCAGGAATTCGAGACCAGCTTGGGCAACATAGTGAGACCTCAGCTCTACAAAAAATAAAAAATTAGCAAGGTGCGGTGGTGCTTGCCAGTCAGCTACTCAGGAGGCTGAGGTGGAAGAATTAATTAAGCCCGGGAAGTCAAGGCTACACTCTAACCTGAGTGACAGAGTGAAACTCTGCCTCAAAAAAAAAAAAAAAAAAAAAAAAAAAAAAAAAAAAAAAAAAAAAAAACCCAAAACAAACAAACAAAACATGAAAAACCCCCAACTATATAAATGCCAAAATCTTGGCAGAAAATTAATAAATAAACATGTGTGTCTTTTCTTTGTGATTAAAAGGATGAAGAATTAGTTTTCCATTGTTTACTATAGAATCATTGAGTTGTACCATTGCAAGTTATTTTAGATATCATCTATCCAAAAATCTCATTTTAAAATTGAGAAAAACTAGGCTCAAAGAGATGAAGTGACTTCCTAAGTTCACACACTTGGGCATAGCTGAACTAGAAGCAAAGTCCCAGTTTCATCAAGTTAGTATACTTTCTGGCCATTATAAGGTCTGCTTTGGAGCTAGCTTCATCGGTATGACAATTTTCCCTCAAATATTCAATGTTTGTTAATAGCACCTTTCCTGAATTATATATATGTGTGTTTTCTAAAACAACTATTTAAATCAGATGGCATACGAGTTTTACTAATGAAAATCCAGAAAATCATGTCCTTAATTCTTTTCTTTGGATTGAAGAGATTATATACACAAATACTTTCTCAAGATGAATGAGTGGGGAAGACTTCCTAAATGCCACCATTTTGTGGAAAGAAAGTGTTTATAGGGACAAAACCCGAGGATTTTAAAATTCATTTTCAATGTAGACCTAAATTTTGTTCAGTGACTTGGAGCATTGTGAGAAGTATAGACCTCAACTGAGCTTTATCACTCTCCAGTGAGTAAAATAATATAGTCCCCATTTTTTTTCAGAGCTTACAAAAAAATGCTTTATCTCCAAATTTATACAGCAAAATCATATTTGAGCTAAGACTGAATTTTAGGGGCATTCTTACTCTTCTGAATGTTTTCATCCACAATCCTGCTCCCAACAGATGGAGACTGAAACACAGGAGAGTTTCAGTTTTATAGGAAAAGAGCTAGTGCTCCTCTTGGATTTAAGTTTTAATTCAAATGATAACCATTATTACATGGGTCCTCACCCCTCCTATATAATTCCAGTACCAATAACTCTAGAAAGAGACTCTATTATTTATTCTCTGGAATTAGCCTAGCCAATTTGATGAATAAATGACTGAATGGTTTCTTAGTCTAACCACTTTCCTCTATTTTGTCTTATTGAGGCAGTAGAATATATTATATTCTGTTTAAGTTCCAGAAATATTTATTGGGTGCTTATTATAAGCCAGGAACTGTGCTAAACAGTAATGACATCAAATTACTACCACTTAGGACTATATTTGTGCATAACAAATACTCAGAAAAAATGTATGTACTGATGATACAATGACTAATAAGACACACTTCCTACCTCCAAGGACCTCACAGTCTTGTGCGGTGTACAAACTTACCTACATATAGGTTAATATTAACTGTAATAGCCACTTTTTATAGCATCAGGGTATGAACAGAAGGCCATGGAAATCCAGAGGCAGTAGCAATTAACTTAGTCTGGAAAAATGCATACAAAGTAGCTTTCAGTCTAGTTATTCTGCTACTAACATCACATTATTTAGGATAAGATATATTTTGTATAAAAATATGGAGATAGAAGTAAAATAAAAATACTTCCCTCTATTTTTCATTACCATAAGCCTACAAACCCCCTCAAATTTGAACTGAAAGTTGTATTTTTAATCTGAGAATCCCAAGAAACTCAGGACAAGGATGAATAAACTATTTCACTATCTTCTCTCACTTAATAGTACTAAAGATAAATTTAAGGGAAAATATTAATTTTATGAATGTTTTAGGATTCATCTATGCTTGTCTGGCCAAACAGTATTATATATTTCAAATATATGTATATGAATTATGCATCTACAGAAATTTAGCTCTGCTGTTGAAGAACAGAAAGCTTAAGATTACTGAAAGAGAGCTCAAAAAAAAATTGGAAAAGAATGAGAAAATATAGTAGTAGTTCCTGGGGTAGAATCAGTTCACAAACCTTGTTCCAGGTATGGAGAAAAGAAAATTTTCAAACATACAGGAAAGATGAAGAATTTTACCATGGACACCATATACCAAGATCACTCAAAAACTTAATTTCTATTTTTTTGAAATCTTTTTAATTTTAGAGACAGCATCTTGCTCTGTCATCCAGGTTGGAGTGCAGTGGTGCAATCACAGCTAACTGCAACCTTAAACTCGTGGGCTGGAACAATCCTCCTGCTTCAGCCTTCTGAGCAGCTAGGACTACAAGTGTGTGCCAACGAGCCTAGCTAATTTGCTTTTTTTGTTTTGTTTTTTTGTTTTTTGTTTTTTTTTTTGAGATGAAGTCTCACTCTTGTCCCCCAGGCTGGAGTGCAATGGTGCTATCTCGGCTCATTGCAACCTCTCCCTCCCGGGTTCAAGCAATTTTCCTGGCTCAGCCTCCCGAGTAGCTGGGATTACAGGCGCCTGCCACCATGCCCAGCTAATTTTTGTATTTTTAGCAGAGATGGGATTTCGTCATGTTGGCCATGCTGGTCTCGAACGCCTGACCTCAGGTGATCCTCCCATCTTGGCCTCCCAAAGTGCTGGGATTACAGGCCTGATCCACTGTGCCCGGCCAAGCCTAGCTAATTTTTAAGTTTTACTTCTTTTGTAGAGACGGAAGTCTCACTATGTTGCCCAGGCTGCTCTCAAAACTTTTGGCCTCGAGCAATCCTCCTGCCTCCCAAAGCAGTGAGATTATCAGTGCAAGCCACTGTGTCGGCCTAAAAACTTGATTTTTAGGGGTTATTCTTTGTGTTCTAGAAGCCCTTTCTTATACAGATACTCATTTATAGCACTGAGGACAGGAACTATACTCATTTTACAAACAAGGAAACTGAGATTCAGAGCTAGTTATGAATCAAGTGTCCAGCACAGTTATCTGCCCTAAAAGTGTGTTTCCCAACATTGGTTGTGCATGTTGTTTTTCCAAAATTTTAAAAAATACTGATACCTTGTTTCTACCCCAGAGGTTTTGATAGAATTTGTTTTTATTTTTCAAGACTTTTTTGGCTATTCTGGGTTCCTTATATTTCCATATGAATTTTAGAATCAGCTTAAGCATATCAATTTCTGCAAAAAATGATTTTTTTTTCTTTTTTTTGAGATTGAGTCTTAGTTGCTCAGGCTGGCGTGCAGTAGTGTGATCTCAGCTCACTGTAACCTGTGCCTCCTGGGTTCAAGCTATTCTCCTGCCTCAACCTCCTGGGTAGCTGGGATTACAGGCATGTGCGGCCATGCCTGGCTAATTTTTTGTATTTTAGTAGAGGTAGGGTTTCGCCGTGTTGGCCAAGCTGGTCTCAAACTCCTGACCTCAGGTGAGCTGCCTGCCTCAGTTTCCCAAAGTGCTGAGATTACAGGCATGAGTCACCGTGCCCGGCCCAGTTTGAATTTTTGTAGGGATTATGCTCAATCTGTACATAAGTTTGAATAATGTTGCCATCTTGACAATATTAACTATTCTGATCTATGAACATGGTACGCCTTTTCATTTATTTAGAACCTCTTTATTTCAACACTATTTTGAATTTCCAGTGTACAAGTTTTGCCCTTCTTTTATTACATTCATTCCTAAGTAAATATTTATCCTTTTATATGCTATTGTAAGTAGAATTGTATTCTTAAATTTTATTTTTGGATTATTCATTGCTACTGCATAGACATTCAGTTAGGATTTTCTATATATAAGATCCTGTCGTCTTCAAATAGAGATAGTCTTACTTCTTCCTTTGCAATATGGATGCTGTTCATTTCTTTTTCTTGCTTGATTGTCCTAGCTAGAACCTCCAGTACAATGTTTAATTGCTGTGTAAAAGCATATATCCTCTTCTTGTTCCTGATCTTAGCAAGGAAGCATTATTCTTTCACCATTAAGTTTGAGTTAGCTGCAGTTATTTCATAGATGTCCTTTATCAGGTTGAGGAATTTTCTGTATATTCCTTGTTTGTTTATTGATTTTATCACCAAAGTTTTTTGTTGTTGTTTTATTTTTTGTTTTTGATTGTCTGTTTGTTTGTTTTTGTTCTTTTGTTTTGAGACAGGGTCTCTGTTGCCCAGGCTGGAGTACAGTGGCAAAATCATAGTTCACTGCAGCCTTGAACTCCTGGGCTCAAGGAATCCTCCTGCCTCAGCCTACCGAGTAACTGGGACTATAGGTGTGTGCCACCATGCCCAGCTAGTTAACAAATTTTTTTTTGACATTAGATTATGAGTAAAACTGCCCCATTGCTCAAGATTCAGTGGAAAGGAAGCAAAACAAAACAAAGAAACCTTATGAGCAAAATGCTTAATTCAGCACATAACAGCATATAGTTTCTATTGGTTAAAGAAGAACATTTATATGGGGTCCTAGATAGGCTCCAAGGAAACCAAATTACTTGAAGAAGCCTGAGATTATTCTTAAAGAAATATAGATTTCCTTGTATGTTTACAATGAATGAGTCTTATTTTTACATGCATGGAAGTATCACAGTCACTGGACACTGTATAATGAAAACTTACAAGTTCTCATTTTGAACAAGCTTCCTTTTTCCTTAGTTGACAAAATTATCCAGGTTTCTTTTAGCATGTTCACAATTTCAGATTTTATACAATTACAAACTGAACTTTCCTTATAAACTGATTGTTATAGCTAATTTTTCCTAATAAAATTCAAATTAAGACAGCACCTGTGAATTCTATTTAGAGTTCTATTGATACTCAATGTAGCCAATCACTGCCAACATGAATCAACCTACGTATGTAAATTTAGTGACCAATATAAAATAGTCTCATCGTTCTTTACTACGCTTTGGAGAAACTTAGTCATTAATGTTAATCACTATAATGGTTCATATTTATTCCTGCTAGTTCTAAAGTTCTGCTTCCTAATTGCATTATTACAAAGATAAAAAATTCAAAGCAACATGTATAGAATAGAATGTGTGTGGGACTGTGTCCAGTTATTAGACATTATAAATTACTATTTGCTTTTTAAGCAATTAAATATTTTAATAAAAACAAATTGTGTTTATACCTGCTGTAAAATTTCTTGCTTTATATTTTACTAGACTAAAAAACAAAACAATATATTTTAATCCACTGTTAATCAGCAGGATTTAAGATAGTTCTGAGAAAGAGGGAAATTGATATTACTGACCCTCTTCCATATTGGTACCCCTAATGACTGTCAGAAAATGCAGGATGAGAACCATTTTTGCTGCGAGGCAAGCCCACTTTTCTTTTTAGAAGCTTTTAAGGAAGCTAAAATTGTGTACAAAAATATTTCTACTGCCTACAAATCACAGTTTATTTTTATGTTTGAACAGAATATTTTCTAATGTAATATATAGATTTTATTTGTGGGAAAATCTGGCACCAACTTTCAACGGCTTTTTTGCAGAAGCATCTAAAAATGAGCTGGAACTCTAGGGTCTAGTACATAAAACATTATATTTTCACATATGGGACTGCATTTTAAATTTAATCTGAAGGACTTGATAAGATACGCCAAATTGCTTAGAAACAATTTGTGTAGCTAGTGAACTGTGGCATCTGGAAGCCCATAGACATTAAAAGCACTTTTTCCCACTTTTTCCCTCTGTTTTTGCCTCCTAATCACTGCAGACAGAATACATGCAATCTATACTGATATTGCAATGAAGACACAAGCACAGATGCTTTTTATTGTGATGAAAGATGACTTTTATTCAGTGCCCAGTTTATTATTGTTATTATTGTTGTTATGATATTAGCAGGCAATATGATGCAGACGTGCTGGCAAAATCTATGATACTAGTCCCACATCATTATAGAGTATGGATTTTCTGTTAGACTGTAGAATTTTTTTTTTTTTTTTTTTTTTGAGACGGAGTTTCACTCTTGTTGCCCAGGCTGGAGTGCAATGGCGCGATCTCGGCTCACTGCAACCTCCGCCTCCAGGGTTCAAGCGATTCTCCTGCCTCAGCCTCCTGAGTAGCTGGGATTAGAGGCCCCCACCACCATGCCTGGCAAATCTTGTAGTTTTAGTAGAGATGGGGTTTCTCCATGTTGGTCAGGCTGGTCGCGAACTCCTGACTTCAGGTGATCCGCCCGCTTCGGCCTCCCAAAGAGCTGGGATTACAGGTGTGAGCCACTGCGCTCAGCCTGTAGAAAATTTTTATAAAAGTAGTAAGTCAATCTGTGTGTGTAATAACATATGTGCTTTAGGTTTGAATTTTGTCAGGGAACTAAAACTGAAAACAAGGAAACATATTGACAAATTATTTATTATTCTGTGCATATATAAGGAATAGCCATTAATTAAAGATTGCTGAGACCAGCTCGGTCATGGAGACCCTAACCCAGTGGCCCTAGAGGAGTTAAAGACGCACACGCAGAAATATAGAGTGTGGAGTGGGAAATCAGGCGGCTGACAGCCAGGAACAGAGATTTACCCACATATTTATTGACAGCGAGCCAGTGATAAGCATTGTTTCTATAGATTATAGATTAATGGGAAACAAAGGGATGGGCCGAAACAAAGGAATGAGCTCTGGCTAGTTATCTGCTGCAGGAACATGTCCTTAAGGCACAGATTGCTCATGCTATTGTTTGTGGTTTAGGAACACCTTTAAGCGGTTTTCCGCCCTGGGTGGGCCAGGTGTTTCTTGCCCTCATTCCAGTAAACCCACAACCTTCAGCATGGGCATCATGGCCATCACGAATATGTCACAGTGCTGCAGAGATTTTGTTTATGGCCAGTTTTGGGGCCAGTTTATGGCCAGATTTGGGGGCTTGTTCCCAACAAAAGATCATCATGGCTAAAGATAAAGCCATCACAGCTTTATCACGCCTACGTAATTTTTGCTTTGCTTCTCATCAATGAGCCCAGGAAAAAATTATTTAATGTTGGTGCATACAAATATTCCAGCATTTCACAGAAGATTCAGAATTATCTTTTAATTTAGGGGTATTAAAAGTTAACAGAATGTCCAGCTGACATTTTGAAAAATAAAGTGAGAAGTTAAGCATTGTTCCTCTTAAGGTTTTAAATAAAATTCAAAAAGTAAAAAAAAAAAAAAAAAAAGGAAAGGAAAAGCAAGCAGATATAGTACAAAGAAAGTGAAAATAAAATAAAATAAGATAAACAAAAGGAAAATCAAATAAATACAATTCAGGTCTCTTCCTTCAAAGAGACCACTTATTTCATTCTAGATTAAATGGGCTTTCATATTTTTGAACTGATGACTAGATGAAGTAAGTTCTACTAAATGGTCTCACTAGTTCCAATTTTGGAGATTATCTCTTCAAGGATTTAGTTTACTTATTAAATGCTACTGAAAGATGGAAAAAGAACAAAGTAGCTACAACTGAAAATCTGGAATAGAATTATATAGCAAGAAGGAATTATAATCTATAAATATAGGTTCTCCTAAAATGATCTCACATCTACAAACATGAAAGTATTTTAAATGATAAAAAGAAGTCTTTCTCCAGTTTGTAAGATGGGAATAATAATCATACTTATCTCACTGGGTTATTGTAAGTTTTAAGTAAGTGAATATTAAATAAGTTCATGTATCTAAAAATGATTTAAACAGTGCCTGGAACATATTGGTGCCATGCAAAGTTTATATATTATCGTTATTATTAATGATAGTAATAGTATGATTCAATACACTGTATTTACGTGACTTTAAGACAATGGGTGCCAAACTAGTGGTTTGTTGTTGGAATTGACTGTCAGTAAAAAATAGAATGTGAAAATAGTGCTTCTTTTCTCTTATTTATTTTATATTTTATTTTATTGTATTTTACTTTAAGTTTCAGGATACATGTGCAGAATGTGCAGGTTTGTTACATAGGTGTCCATGAGCCATGATTGTCTGTTGAACCTATCAACCTGTCATACAGGTTTTAAGCCCACATATATTAGGTATTTGTCCTAATGCTCTCCCTCCCCTTGTCCACCACCCCCTGACAGGCCCTGGTGTGTGTTGTTCCTGTCTCTGTGTCCAAGTGTTCTCATTGCTCAACTCCCACTTGTGAGTGAGAACATGCGGTGTTTGGTTTTCTGTTCCTGTGTTAGCTTCTTTTTCACCTCTCCCAGAATACCTCTCATTCAGTATCCACCGTTGGCATTCTGTCTTCCCACTACAGCATTTAATGTGCTCATTCAATCAACCAGCAACCCTGATACTAGTGTTGCACTGTCCTGTACGATCCAGCATTATTTGGACATTATCCTGGAACCTAGAATTTTCTTCCTTTTCTTTTGTTTTAAACTTTCCTAAATCAACATTTTCTTATGCAGTATATTATTTCTTTAGGCTTCGCACACTAATAAATTGATAGCTAGCTAATTCTACTAAAATAGATCTGATATGGTTTAGCTCTGTGTCCCACCCAAATCTCATGTTGAATTGCAATCCCCAATGTTGTAGGAGGGACCTGGTGGGAAGTGATTGGCTCATGGGGGCATATTTCTCTCTTGCTGTTCTTGTGATAGTGAGTTTGTTCTTACGAGATCTGGTTGTCTGAAAGTATGTAACACTTTCCCCTTCACACTCTCTCCCTCCTTCTGGCCATGTGAAGACTGTGCTTACTTCCTCTTCCCCTTCTGCCATGACCGTAAGTTTCCTGAGGCTTCCCTAGAAGCATAAGCCTGTATAGCCTGCAAAACTGTGAGCTGAATAAGCCTCTTTTCTTTATAAACTACCCAGTCTCAGGTAGTTCTTTATAGCTGTGTGAGAACAGACTAATACACGATCCATGCTACTGCATTTAATGTATCACTATGGAAATGCATTTTCTTTTTAGATGCAGAGACTGAAGAAACCAAAATTAATGGCCATTTGTGGGAATTTTAGCCCTGTTCAAGAGGTCTGCTATAGTTTTTCCTTTCTGTAGCTAGTAGGTTCTTATACTACCTTTTAGGAAGAAATGTTCTACTATTATGAAAGGACCTTAAGTCACTTGGAGACACTGAGGTCACTACAAATTTTGAGTTAGTTATTTCTTTTTTTTTTTTTTTTTTTTTTGAGGCAGAGTCTTGCTCTGTCGCCCAGGCTGGAGTGCAGTGGCAGCCTCCACCTCCTGGGTTCAAGCGATTCTCCTGCCTCAGCCTCCTGAGTAGCTGGTACTAGAGGCATGTGCCACCATGCCCGGCTAATGAATTAGTTACTTCTAAGGCTGTATCAATAAATTCCAGACTTAAAATATCTGTTTATTTTTACTGTTAATCAAGGTAGGACATCATTTCTTTGCACATGCCTTGGTATTTTCATTGGTTAAATTTTATTGTCAGTATGGAAAAATAAAAATCAGAGGAAATGTATTCAGTATTTCTGTGATTTGTTTTAAGAATTTAATTATAGATTTTAATCTTGATGTGGTTTTTTTCAAAAACATGTACCAGGTTTTATATCATCCCAGTAAATAATTTTGTCTGAAGGTCAAATGTTTTTAAGAGTGTTTCATGGAAATGAATATATTTTCTTAATTTTATAATTGACCAAATTTTTATAATGTAAAAGAGAAATTAATGAATGCTGTATTGAAAGGTAATCACTCTGCAGTTGATCCCGCTATAATTTCTATTTATTTAAGAATTATGAATCATCAACTAAAATACTGAAAATATTTGTTTTAATAATAGACTATGAATATTTTGTATTTTAGTAAATTTTGTATTGGAACTATCAAATAGAGTCACAACTTCACCCGTTTCAATTTTTATGGTTGCTCTTTATTGAGTGCATAACCATTCTATTTGCAGAAATTCCTTCAAGATTTATCACTGAGTTTTTATTCATATGATTAAAAATATATTAAAATATAAGCTATTACTATTATATGCGTTATGAAGGATTACAAAGAATTTCAGATCAGGTATTTAAAATCACATTGGAATCATATATCTACTGTCTTCTCAATAGACGCAATATACAGCACACCGAGGTTGAATATTTATTCAAGTTGTTTTTTCTGTTGGAAATGAGGCTCAATTATTCCAACTTGTTAAAGCAAGGGCTAAAACATAGCTTCTGAAGCATCATAAAATTAAATAACTATATTTTCATGATTTAAATGACAACTCCATTTATTTCAGCTTTCACTTATAAATGAGTACTTACGCACTGATTAATATGAACAAATGTACTTAAAATGGAAAAGTTAAATGTGATTTTAATACATTTTAGTAAATTAAGGGCTGAGTACTATTGGGTTAGAACAAGAGGGAAAACAAATTTACATGTGAACATTGTGAGGATGTTCACATGTAAATAAATAGCAAACCACTGTTATGACTAGGTCAGATACTTCAACTCATTTAAAAAATCCAACTATGTTTTTACTGTGTAGACTCAGTAATAGTAGGAACAATATTGCCTAAAAGCATAATTTATTACACAGACAACTATTTGCTTTTTTTCTTTTAAGTAACTAATGCAGATCATAATTTTCATATGAATAATTTCATAGAAATATCTGTCAGCTTACTTAACAAATATTTCCCAGGAAAGCTTATCATTTGCTCATATTTTCCTAAATCATATTTACTATATTTTTAAAGAAAGTAAGTCATAGAAAGGAATCTGAAACATATTAGTTTAAAACACTTCTTTTATATAAGGTTAATAGTGGGAATGATAGAGGTAACATTTAAAATTGTTAATTATAGCTGCAATTTCGATCAAATACTTTTTTATCAGCTACAGTTTTATGATAATGCAACTGTTCTTATTTATTTGACTTCTAATAAAACAATTATGAATCAAATTAGTGAGTACTAATTATACCTTCATTTCTTATTCACCTTCCATTTGTATGTATGTATATTAGGGATGATCAGACATAAAATTTGCTAATTTTTACAACCTTTTACATCAGATGGTTATTTTTCCATCATGATTAGAGAGAAGTTAGAATCAGTGTATCACTTTCACGGATTCACTCGGCAGTTAAAACACATCGTTAAAGCCATTCAATGAAATAACCAGAAAGGAGCAATTGACTTTTAACATTTGGCTCCACAGAATGTGTTTTAACCAGGTTCCACTTCCTAAATAACACATCATGCCATCATTTCAGAATCATAAACAACAGTCATAGCAAAGATATGTCTAGTGATATTATAGAAAGCATATCAGCATGTTGACTTGTGGAAAAATCAAATTCACTGTTCGTAGAAGTGGAAAATCAAGTGTTTGAAGAAATTATCCTCTTATGTTGTCATGTTTGTCTAAAATATGTTTAATATTTTGCAATGAATAAACAGTGGCATAACTAAGTGGGCAAATATTTTCAAACTAGATAAATAAACCTGATTGAAGTTATTGGGCCCTTTTCATCAATCACGTTATTTCAGGAGGCAAAGTTATTGTATAGTATTTGTACTTGTATATTAGTAACAATGCACCACCATGTATTTCTTTTAAGTAACAAGATTTATAATTACAAGATTTATAAAATAGTTTACATTGAGGATGTAGTTAGTGGATGAAAGATGAACTGAGAAACATTTATTTTCTTTTGTCTTTTTTTTTTTTTTTTTTTTTTTGAGACAGTGTCTCTCTCTGTAACTCACGTTGGAGTGCAGTGGCACATACATGACTCACTGCAGCACTGACCTTCTGGGCTCAAGGGATTCTCCTGCCTCAGACTCCCGAGTAGCTGGGACCACAGGTGTCTGCAACCATGCCCAGCTATTTTTTGTTGTTGTTGGTTTTTTGTAGAGATGCAGTCTTACTATGTTTCCCAGGCTGTTCTGGAACTCCTGGGCTCAAATGATCCTCCCACTTGGGCCTCCCAAAGTGTTGAGATTACAGGTGTGAGCCACTTCGCCCAGCCCAGAAATTTTTCATTTGTTAAAGCATACTGATACATTATTTTCTTTCCAAAGATTTTTTTCTTATAAAATACTATAAAGTCTATGTGTGTTTGAGGAGAAGAGGCATATATCCTGTATCCTGTATATACATTTGGTAACTGTAAATAATTAAACACAGTTTCAGAAAAATATTCCCATTTGTTAAAAGCATAGAAGTTTTACCCTCCTACCATACAGAAGGGCCTCACAGATGGATAAACCATGTTTGTAACTTTTTAGGTTCAGTAAATTACAACACACATCTTCTGTAACCCAATTCCAACTTTTTAACGTCTGTGCATGGAATTAATATAGGTTAAAAATGGGTATGAGGTCTTAAGCGAGCAAAATGAACTATCTAATTACTCTGTTGCTTAATAATATATTAAAGATTATTAGTTTTTAGTTCTGTTGTGTGTTTCCTACTTTTGAACAAGTTCCATAAGCTATAACTAAAACTATATGCTTACTTTTCATCTTTGGAAATGAAACAGAGTGTTTATATACTTGAATGCCCAGAGATGGAAAAGTCATATGTTGGACAAGAGCATCAGACACATGACTTATAGCCACTGAAATACTTTCAAATCATGACTTAGTCTACCATAGGGCATTATGAAAATGTAAAGACTCTGTCTCAAAAACAAAAAAAAAGAGAAAGAAAAAAGAAAAAAAAAGCATGAACACAAAAGCAAAAAATAATTAAAATAATTCATTGTCTTTATCCATTTTGGAGACTATTTGGAAAATCAGCTCTGAATAGAAAGAATGCAAAATGTGAAATGCATCACTTTGGTTGTTAGCAGGTGGTCACATGCAATCCAATAAAATGTGGACCATATTATACTGGGTACTATATGTAATAGTTACAACCTAATATGCATAAAGTATATAGTTAATCTTGTCTTTCTGGATTATGGATGCAAAGTCATTTAAATTTTAGAAATAATGAAGTGACTGATCTCGTTTCATCAATGTGCAAAGACTTCTCAAAGTCTGCTGCAGAAAAAAAAATTATTTTGGAAAAAAATATTTTGAATGTCATAACAATCAGCAGGTAACTTTTTAAAGAAAAGAACAGAACATTCATAAATTGGAAGTATCCTTAATGTTTTTGCATGTTGCTGGAACATTTTACCTGCACACTTGTTCTTTAAATGTTCTCACTCTCATTTTATAAATACTTATGCAAGCTTTTCATGAAACGCATTTCTACGTACTACCTGCTGGTTCAGATTATGTCTTGTTCTATTTTATTGAAATAATTCAGGAGACTTTTAAAATTAGGTATATAGAGGGTGATTTTTTAAAATGCCTCTCTTAACAGTAGAATGAAACTGTCATTTACTGAAGCCACAACCTCCTGAGAAGGAAAATAAGAAAAGTCAAAAAGAAAACATTCAAGGAAGATGTCTTTCTACCTTTTGCTATGTAATCTTTCTGTTGGTGCCCTACACCACTGCACACCTCCCTGCCAGCACATACACAGAATCACACACAGTTACTATTGGGAACAATAGACAAAGAAAAAAATGTTTTTATTTTTTATTGGTATTCAAAGAACTGAGATGTAGAGGAAAAAGAGCTGCAGTGAAAGTCCAGCAATGAATTATTCAATTCCTTCAATTTGTTGACCTTAACGAAATGCAAAGTGATTTGAACTAAAAGTAATTAACAAGAGAGAGTGTGCCTAGTAAAACCAAGAAAGAATCATATTTGTTTCAGGAATCAATAACAGCCAGTGACTGAAGGTCATAAAGGAACCATTCAGGAAAACAAAGAGCCTTTTGCCAAGGCAGTTGTCATGCTGTATATGTGTGCACATATGCAGGGATTTTAGCTGTGACCGTGTACTAGGAAGATTTAATTACATGAAAATGTCTTCTACAGAAAATAAAGTGAGGAGAAAAATGAACTAAGAGGCACATCTCAGTGACACTAAAATGTCATTTTTGATGTCAAGTTTAACAGAAAATTGTTTCTGAGGACTGGCATCCAATGCAGTTTTTCATTTAAATAAAATATTCCAGTGTGACTAAAAGTAAAATTAAAAGCAACACTGAATAAAATTTAATGAAGAACTTTGGAATGATAATAGAGTTCTATAACATAGAACTAAAGCTGTGGGCCAGGCACGGTGGCTGAGGCCTGTAATCCCAGCACTTTGGGAGGCCAAGGCGGGCAGATCATGAGGTCAGGAAATTGAGACCATTCTGGCTAACAAGGTGAAACCCCGTCTCTACTAAAAAAAATACAAAAAATTAGCTGGCGTGGTGGCGGGCGCCTGTAGTCCCAGCTACTCGGGAGGCTGAGGCAGGAGAATGGAGTGAACCAGCGGGCGGAGCTTGCAGTGAGCCGAGATCGCGCCACTGCGCTCCAGCCTGGGCGACAGAGCGAGACTCCGTCTCAAAAAAAAAAAAAAAAAAAAAAAAAAAGAACTAAAGCTGTGAACATGTTCCAAAGACTATTTTGGCACGCAGAAGCACATCTTTGTCTCTTCTGTTACGAAATCTCAATGAAAAACTCTTGAGCTTTTCCCAAATTGAAGGACATTCTATAAAATACCTAACTAGTACTTCTCAAAACTACCAAGGTCATCAAAAACAAGGAAAACTTGACGAACTGTCATAGTCAAGATGCGCTGAAGGAGATATGATGACTAAATGATGTAATGTGGAACCCTAGATGGGATCCTGGGTCAGAGAAAAGACATTAAGAAATAGAAATAAAGTAAAAATTAGTTAATAATAGTGTATAGATATATTGGTTCATTAGTTGGGGCACAATGTATTATAATAATGTAAGATGTTAACAACAGGGAAAATGGGTGTAGAGAAAGACTACCTGTACTAACTTTGCAACATTTTTTGAAATCTAAAATGATTCTAAAATTTATTAAAGATTCTGAAGTTTATTTTATTCATTTATTCATTCATTTATTTATTTATTTTGAGATGGTGTTTTGCTTTTGTTGCTCAGTTTGGAGTGCAATAGCATGATCTTGGCTCACTGCAACTTCCACCTCCCAGGTTCAAGTGATTCTCCTGCCTCAGCTTCCCACGTAGCTGGGATAACAGGCACCCACCACCACGCCCAGCTGAAGTTTTGGATTTGTAGTAGAGACAGGGTTTCACCGTGTTGGCCAGGCTGGTCTCGAATTCCTGAACTCAGGCGATCCACCCATCTCAGCCTCCCAAATTGCTGGGATTACAGGCTGTGAGCCACTGTGCCCTGCCAATTCTGAAGTTTATTAAAAACATTAGAGCATTTTATCCTGGTATAAATTCCAGCAATATTATTGGCTTTTATTCCAATCTATCTTAATCTCTTTGAAATATGCTCATTAATTAAGAAGACAGCTATACAAAACATTACAATAATCAACAGGAATGGACATTTCCATTTTGTTTATACATTTTAGGAGCTGTGGTCTTGGGGAAAAACAAGAGGACCCAAAATGACTACAAAGATAAATTTTCATAAATGATTGTCCTGGAGCTGCTATATGCTAGATCTCATCAAGAAGAGCTTAGGGTTTCACTTGTAAAATAAAAGCATCTTCTCAGAGAACTGCTGTTTGGAGATTCATAAAAATAAATAGTAATTATTGGATTCAAGGCCCTAGAGAAACATATGTGTGTACTCTTTGGTGAGCAAATTGCTATTATTATCTTGAATTTAATACAATGAAGCATCACACATTGTAAAACTAAGGGAGTCACAGAAATTTCAAAGTTATCTATTTCTACCTCAGCTATTTTAAACTCTCTTCTAGAAGCCAAAATAGTAAATACTTAAAAAGAAGTAATTTATAGTATTTGTTAACTAATTGGAATAACTAGATAAATGTAGTTTCATGAATGGTTAAGAAAACTTTTACTGAAACCAAAAGTATTGAGAAAATCATCGTGAATAGTAACTTAAATTTTGCAAAGGGTAAATGCAAACAGAATATGACTCATGAATAATATGGTAAGCACTGAACTGTAAGTAATCGTAGAACTGAGAAAGTATTAAAATGATATAAATCTGCCCAAAAGTTAAGTATATGTGTTATTTATATTGGTCATGTCTAAAAGTGAACAAAAACTAAATAAACTGAATAATATAGTTGATTTTTCTATATTGATCTTATATCCTGCAACCTTGCTGGACTCTCGTTATTTCTAATAATTTTTGCAGATTCCTTAGAATATTCTATATACAGGATCATGTCATCTGCAAATAGAGATAGTTTTACTTCTTCCTTTCCAATCTGTATGAATTTTGTTTCTTATTGTTATTATCATTTTTGTTTTGCATAATTATCTTGGCTAGGTCCTCCAGTGCAACACGTTAGAAATGAGCAAGAGTGGATATTACTGTTATTTTCCTGGTCTTCGTGAGAAAGCACCCAATCTTTCATCATTAATTATGATGTTAGCTGTGGGTTTTTAATAAATGCCCTTCATTAGGTTCAGAAAGTTTTCTTCTATTCCTGGTGTGTTGAATATTATCCCCATAAAAGCATGCTGGATTTTGACAGGTGTGTTTGTGTGTGTGTGTGTGTGTGTGTGTGTGTCTATTAAAAAGATCATGTGGGTTGGGCGCCGTGGCTCATGCCTGTAAGCCCAGCACTTTGGGAGGCCTAGGCGGGAGGATCACCTGAGGTCTGGAGTTCGAGACCAGTCTGGCTAACATGGTGAAACCTCATCTCTACTAAAAAAACACAAAAAATTAGCTGGGCATGGTGGCATACACCTGTAGTCTAAGCTACTTGGGAGGCTGAGGCAGGAGAATCGCTTGAACCCGGGAGGCGAGGTTGCAGTGATCCGAGATCGTGCCTTTGCACTCCAGTCTGGGCAACAAGAGCGAAACCCTGTCTCAAAAAAAAAAAAATCATGTGCATTTTGTTTCTTATTTTATTGATTTGCTATATGATAGATTTTCCTATGGTGAATCAGTCTTGGATCCCTGGAATAAATCCCACTTGATTATGGTGTATAATTATTTTTGTACGTTGCTGAATTTGGTTCACTAGGTTTTTTTTCTAAACTTTTATCTTAGGTTTTGGTATTCATGTGCAGGTTTGTTATATAGATAAATTGCATGTGACAGGAGTTAAATATACAGATTATTTTATCACCCAGGTAGTAAGCATGGTACCTGACAGGTAGTTTATTGATCCTGACCCTCCCCCGACCCACCACCCTCAAGTAGGCACCGATGGCTGTTGTCCCCTTCTTTGTATTCTTGTGTACTCAATATTTAGCTCCCACTTATAGGTGAGAACATGTGGTGTCTGGTTTTCTGTTCCTGTGTTAGCTTGCTTAGGACGATGGCGTCCAGCTCCATCCATGTTGCTGCAAAAGACATGATCTTGTTCTTTTTTATGGCTGCATAGTATTCCATGATACATATGTACCACATTGTTTTAATCCAGTATACTATTGATGGGTGTTTAGGTAGTTCCATGTATTTGTTACTGTGACTAGTGCAGCAATGAACATCCATGTGCATGTGTCTTTATGGTAGAATGATTTATATTCCTTGGGACTATACCCAATAATGGGATTGCTGGGTTGAATGGTAATTCTGTTTTAAGTTCTTTGAGAAATTGCCATTGCTTTCCACAATGGCTGAACAAATTTGCATTCCATCCATCAGTGCATAAGCATTCTGTTTTTTCCACACCCTCACCAGTATCTGTTATTTTACAACTTTTTAATAATAGACATTCTGACTAGTGTGAGATGGTATCTTATTGTTGTTTTGATTTGCATTTTTCTAATGATTAGTGATGTTGAACATTTTTTCACATATATATTCCTTGCAGATTATGGATATTAGACCTTTGTTGGATGCATTGTTTGCAAATATTTTCTCCCATTCTGTAGGTGGCCTGTTTACTCTGTTCATAGTTTCTTTTGCTATGCAGAAGCTCTTTAGTTTAATTAGATATCATTTGCCAATTATTTTGTTGTCGTAATTGCTTTTGATTTCTCTGTTATAAAATCTTTGCCAGGTCCTATGTCCAGAATGGTCTTTCCTGGGTTATCTTCCAGTGTTTTTGTACTTTTAGGTTTTATATTTAGGTCTTTATTCCATCTGGAGTTGATTTTTGTATATGGTGTTAGAAAGGGGTCCAGTTTCAATCTTCTGCATATGGCTAGCCAGTTATCCCAGCACTATTTATTGAATAGAGAGTCCTTTCCACATTGCTTGTTTTTGTCGACTTTGTCAATGATCAGATGGTTGTAGGTATGCGGCTTTATTTTTGGGCTTTCTAATCCATTGCAGTGGTCAATGTGCTTGTTTTTGTACCAGTTCCACACTATCTTGGTTACTGTGTAGCCTTGTAATATAGTTTGAAGTCGGGTAATGTGATGCATCCAGCTTTTTTCGTTTTGCCTAGGATTGCTTTGACTATTAGGGCTTTTTGGTGCCATATGAATTTTAAAATAGCTTTTCTAATTCTGTGAGGCATGTCTTTGTTAGTTTGATGGAAATAGTATTGAATCTGTAAATTGCTTTGGGCACTATGTTTGTTTTAACAATATTGATTCTTCCTATCCATTAGCATGGAATGCTTTTCCATTTGTTTGTGTCATCTCTAATTTCTCTGAGCACTGTTTTGCAATTCTTGTTATAGAGGTTTTTCACCTTCCCGGTTAGATGTTTCCCCAGATATTGTTCTCTTTTTGTGGCTATTGTGACTGGAATTGCATTCTTTATTTGGCTCCCAGCTTGGATGTCATTGGTGTATAGGAATGCTACCAATTTTTGTACATTGATTTTGTATCCTGAAACTTTGCTTAAGTTGTTTATCAGATCAAGGAGCTTTTTGACAGACACTATGGAGTTTTATAGGTATAGAATCATATCACCTGCAACAGGGACAGTTTGACTTGCTGTCATCCTATTTGGATGCCTTTTATTTCTTTCTCTTGTCTGATTGCTCTGTCCAGGATTTCCAGCACTGTTTTGAATAGCAGTGGTGAGAGAGAGAGCATTATTTTCTTGTTCCAATTTTCAAGGCAATGCATCCAGCTTTTGCTCATTCAGTATGATGTTGGCTGCGGATATGTCATAGATGACTCATAGTTTTGAAGCAGGCTCCTTCAATGCCTAGTTTGGTGAGTGTTTCTAACATGAAGGGAAGTTTAATTTTATCAAAATCCCCTTCTGTATCTTTTGAGATACAAATGAGAATTTTATTTTCGGTTCTGTTTCTGTGACAGATCACATTTATTGGTTTGCATTTGTTGAAACAAACTTGTATCCCAGGAATGAAGTCTATTTGATCATGGTGATTCACTTTTTTATGTGCTGCTGAATTCAGTTTGCTAGTATTTTGTTGAGAATTTTTGCATCTACTTTCATCAAGTATATTTGCATGAAGTTTTCTTTTTTTTGTTGTGTCTCTGCCAGGTTTTGGTATCAGGATGATATTGGCCTCATAGAATGAGTTAGGGAAGAGTCCCTTTTTCTCCATATTATAGAATAATTTCAGTAGGAATGTTCCCAGACCAAACTGAGGTTCGGGCTGCTATTTCTTGTGGCCCAATAATGAGATGCAGATGAACTAGGGGGAAGAGAGTTTTTATTTCTGTAACCAGTTACAGGGACAAGGCCTGAAAAATATTGCCAGACCAACTCAAAATTACAGTCTTTCAGAGCTTATATACTTTCTAAGCTATATGTCTACATCTAAGTGTGCATTCATTTAAAGACATAAGTGATTAACTTCTTTTAATCTGTAACTAAGATCTGAGTCCTGAAGACCTTCCTCTGGAGCCTCAGTAAATTGACTTAACTTAGATGGGTCTAGCTGCTGGGGTGATTACCCTTATCTTGTCTCCTGCTAAATCATGGAGGTTTGGGGAGTTCCTTTAGTCCCCAGTAAAGCTTGTTTGTGGAGGCCTGGGGAGTTTCTCCATACTCCCAATAAAACTTATTTAATCCTAAACAGGTCCTGTTAAGAATTCCGTCATTATCTTGTCATGCTTTAAGGCCCAGGAAAGGCCTAGGCAAAACTGTTGGTGGGCTTTTGTTACATTCCATCCTGAGTGGTTATTAAAAGCTGATAGGTAAAGCTTTATCAGCTTTTAATAACCACTCAGTCAATACTGAAACAGTTGTTAGGGAGGTCTGTGTTAGTGAGACCTGGCCTGCCACAGGAATGGTACTAGCTCTTCTTTACATATCTGGTAGAAACTCACTGTGAATCTGTCTGGTTCTGGGCTTTTTCTGGTTGGAAGGCTATTTATTACTGATTCAATTTTGGACCTCATTTTTTATTTGTTCAGGGATCCAATTTCTTCCTGGTTTAGTCTTGAGAGGTTGTATGTGTCAAACAAGTTATCCATTTCTTTCAGGTTTTTTAGTTTGTGTGCATACATACACATGTTCATAATAGTCTCTGCTGGTTTTTGTATTTCTTTGGGGTCAGTGGTAATGTCCTCTTTGAAATTTCCGATTGTGTTTATCTAAATTTTCTCTTTTTTTCTTTATCTAGCTAGCAGTCTATCTGTCTTATTAATTGTTTTCAAAGAACCAACTCCTGCATTCATTAATGTTTTTTATGGTTTTTAGCATCTCAATTTCTTTCAATTCAGCTCTGATTTTGGATATTTCTTTTCTGATAGCTTTGTGGTTGGTTTGCTCTAGTTTCTCTAGCTCCTCTAGTTGTGATGTTAGGTTGTTAAATTGAGATCTTTCTAAGTTTCTGATGTGGGTGTTTAGTGCTATAAACTTCCCTCTTAACACTGTTTTAGTTGTGTCCCAGAGATTCTAATATATTATATCTTTGTTCTCATTAGTTTCAAATAATTTCTTGATTTCTGCCTTAATTTCATTGTTTACTCCAAAGTCATTCAGGAGCAAGTTGTTTAACTTCATGTAATTATATGGCTTTGAATGATTTTCTTAGTATTAATTTTTATTTTTATTGCACTGTGGTCCGAGAGTGTGGTTTGTGTGATTTTTTAAAATTTGCTGAGGATTGTTTTATGTCTGATCATGTTGTCAATTTTGAGTATGTGCCATGTGCATGTATAAATATATACACCTACTATGTACCTACAAAAATTAAAAATTAAAAATAGATTCATTGCTGGGATACTACTGTGTTAATTTAGATGTAAGAAGACACTCTGGCTTTTTGAGTTGCCAGAGTGCTTGTGCTGTTTCTTTCTCATATGTGTGGGCTGATTTTTCTTCAATCCTTTCCTTCAAGAAGTTGCTATTCTTTGTTTTGTTGCTGTTGTTGTTGTTATTTTTGGTTTGTTTGTTTGTTTTTCGGAGTCTTGCACTGTCACCCAGGCTGGAATGCAATGACACGATCTCGGCTCACTGCAACCTCCGCCTCCTGGATTCAAGTGATTCTCCTGCCTCAGCCTCCCGAGCAGCTGGGATTACAGGTGCCTGCCACCATGCCCGGGTAATTTTTTGTATTTTTAGTAGAGACGGGGTTTCACTATGTTGGCCAGGCTGGTGTCTAACTCCTAACCTCGTGATCCACCTGCTTCAGCCTCCCAAAGTGCTGGGATTACAGGCATGAGCCACTGTGCCCAGCGAGGAATTTTCATTATTATGATTATTTGCTTTTTCTTTTCTTTGACATCCTTGGGGGTTTGGTCATTGTATAAGGTGGGTTCAGTTTACTGGCTTCATTTCTGGTACATTTTGGTGCAGGCAAGGCTCAGCTCAGCACTCCTGGGCTGTGTGGTCTAACTCTGGAGGGCTGCTGTTGGGCAATGGCACAGTAGGATGTATGTGCACTCTTGTGCCAGCAAGTGAAGGAAAGGCAAAGTCTACTTGCCTATGTGTGTGCCAGCAAAACAATGAGAGTGTGGCTGTGGGCAAGTGCTTGCTGGCAAAGAGACATAAGGGAGGCTGCAGTGGGGAGAGGGTGCAGTTGGGCTGGTGCCAGTAGGCCAGGGCCACGATGCTGGAGCTCTCCGACAGTCAGCTGTGGTCTTCCTGTGCAGGAGCTATGATGCGGGATCCTGCAGGCACCCCATTTGAGTATTGGAGGCTAAACTGCAAGTAGGCGTGGCCAGGGTGGGGACCCAGGAGAGGTTAGCAGACAGGAGGCGCTCAGGGTGGACTGACTGGTCTCCTGGGCAAGATTGTTCTGCTGTGTTCTGGTTTGACAGTTTCCCTAAGTCTAGAGTGTCCTGAGGAGCATGGCGAGCCTTGGGGAATGGGCGTCCCTGGCAGTACTTGGCTGCAGATGTTCCCACACCAAACCTTCTGGGCTCCACATAGGCTGGAATTCTGCCCAGCCTTAAAAATCTTTAAGCAGTTCTTGCTGCTAGCTCAAGTGCCCATGGGGATCATGGGGTCTCCTGCTACCAGGATTCCAGATGTCCGTGGCGAAAGTGAATCACTCCTCACATGTTCAATGCATCCCTTTCCTAGGAGTCTGGGTTCACTTTTTTTGTTTTTTTTTGTTTTTTGTTTTTTGTTTTGTTTTTTTTTTGAGAATCTGTGTGTTTACATTCCAGATATGATTCTGCAGCTTCCTTTTCTTGTGTTGTCTTTGCCTGGTTCTGGTGCCAGGAAATCATGGCCTCATACAGTGAATTAGAAAGTATTCCCTGACTCTTCTATTTTTTAAGGGGAGAATTTGTGAAGAATTGGTGTTAATTATCCTTTAAACGTTTGGTAGAATTCAACAGTGAAACTAACTGGTCCTGAACTGGCCGACTTCTCTGTGTGTGATTCTCCTGCTTTAGGAGCTGAGTGCTTAGTGGAGGTAACAAAGTCGTCAGTGGTAGTAGCTTCAGCCATTCTTTGGCCATGAAACTACTGCATTACAAGTGAAGGCAAGGCAGATTGGGACGCTAGTATTCTTGGTTGTATCTTTTCCAAGGTAGAACCTCCATCACTTGAATGGGGGCTGGGTAGAAAAGAAAGCCCTCACCTCTCAGCTGCATTTACCTGAAACTTAGCCTCAACAACAGGAAGTTAGGGGCAGGGTAAGAAATTCTGACCTTATGATCCCTAAAAAAGATAACACTCCCACTGGGAGTCAGGTAAAAGGGAATGTTGTGTTCTTGGCTGCTCTCGTGTGTAACGGAGTTGTAGTCTTGCTGACCTGGGAGGAGAAAGGAAGGCACAGGTCTTCATACGAATACCACAGACTCTCGCTCTTTTTGTAGAATTTTAGTAGATTTTCTTGAACAAGTATATCTTCATTTGCTAGATGCTCTAAGATCATTTTCTGACGCTTTAAATGGCTGTTTTTAAATTAATATTTACCAGTTTTGCAAGGGATTACATCCATGGAACTCCTCAGATGTCATGCTGGAAGTCAGTTTTTACACTACGATTTGAATATAAAAGAATATAAAATCAGAGTTTATTGGCTAGGACAGTTGTTTTTTTATAGCCTGGAGCTTAGTGTATGAGACTTCCACAGATTGTGAAGGGGCTTGTATGTCACACTGGGAAATTTTAAAATTATCCTTTAAGAAATGCAGCACCCATGTACTATCTAAGAATCTGAGTGATATGACCAGATTTGGGGTTTTAAAGAATAGTTCCAGAAGCTGTATGGAAGGGAAATTCAACTAAGCTAAGCCCAGATATTAAATGATTCAAGACCTTAAAACATGACTTGAAGAGTTAGAATAGATAGAGAATGAATTCAAGGGAAATATAAGAGAAAGTTGAGAAATTATTGATTGGATATAGATATTGACTAGCAGAAAAGTAAAAATTTGATAATGGAACAATATTTTGTAGCTAATGTCTGATTTCAATGCTAGTGGAATACATAAGGAGAGAAACAAACTCGAAGCAGAATGTAATTACTATGGTTTTGAAGATATTGTTTTGATGTGGCTGTAGGACATCCTGTTGAAGATGCTTAGCAGGCAGCTAGAAGTATGGCTCTTGAGGTATGAGAGCATTTGAACTTGGAGATAGAAAGGTGAGAGGCATGATAAAATATACAATATTTGAAGTCACTGGAACAGATATTACCCAAGAAGATCACATAGAAGAGGAAGAAGATAACAGCTCCAAGGGTGAAATTCTGTCACAATATACTTTCAATGATATGATTGGAAGAAGAGAAGCCAGAAAATTCTACTGGAAGAAGATAACAAAACTGAATAGAGTAAGATAACAGCATTGCAGAACAATTGCCTGACAGAGTTTCAAGAAGGAAAGTATGGTCAGCCTTTCTATACCAAATTCGAACATTCAGTGGGTTTTTATATCTCCTTCTCTAAGATGATTATTCATGTAGGGTCCTAGAGAACCTCCAATGGAGGTAAATATAAATAAGAGGAACATTCTTGACAGGAAGTATGTCCATATAATTTAAAGAAACACTATCTGACAAAAAAAATGCTTATATATAATGTAAAGAAACACTATCTGACAAAAACTGTGCATATATTTGCATCTGTTTGCCACCTGCAATTATGTGTTTAAATGTTTCTCAGGCTCCCAGACGTTTACGAAGCGATATCTGTCAAACATATGAAATTGAACATTCCATTCTCATTTTAAAAATATCATTTTACGTAGTAATTTTCATACTAAGACACTGCATTTCCTTCCCATGAAGAGTACAACTAACGCTAATGGTTGAATTACAGTCCAAGACAGTATGTTGTAATGCCATTTATAACTGGTGCTCTACAATCATACCTCACAAGATAAACAGTTCTTAAATGAGTTCAGATGTTTACTACAATGCAACACGAGTTTTAAATGACTAAGTTATTTTATTTTGGAAGAATAAGAAGTCTTAGTTCCCAGTGGAGTGGGAAATTCTGTCAACAATAATGCTTAGAGAAGACAAACAAGTAGAATATTTAAAGATAAATCAAAAGAACACTGTTTTATTCCTGTGTTATGTTTAGGTTATGTCTCCCAAGGGTCATCTAGGTTGTCAACCTATGTGGATGGTATTAATCAGATACCTGAAAAATTCTTCCCTTATGTTTCCTAATTTAGCTATAAACTTAATGTTAACCAAAATAAATAAATTTTATTTTTATTGAAGGCTTTTACTCTATTCATTTAGTGAATACAGCTACCTGCCTTTGATGTAAGATATAAAAATGGTTATCTTGCCATCGTTGAAGACCTTCAAATCTACAGTCTGAAGCAAAGCAGAAACTGATTCAGATTTACCAGAACTTATAAAATTGACAAAAAGCTACACAGATATATCAGTTTTATTTTTAACTGACATGCATTTATGACATTGTACAAGAACCACTCAATGATAAAAATATGCTGCCTATGATATCCATATCTGTGTTAGATATGGTCTTTTATGACTGGTATAATTCAAAGTAAAATAGACAATATTGTATAAGAAAAACACTAGTCTTAGGATAATATATTGTTGGAGCTGGGGAATCCTTAGGGAATATCTAGCTTGCCTTCCCACTCTTATTCTTCAGAGGATGAAAATGAGATTCAGGGACATTAAGTAATATTCCCTGGCTCAGAAAATATCTTATTGTCTAAAACTAGATTGCCATCCTTATGTTCTGAACTCTTTCTAGCCTATCCAATATTCTTTCCACTGTACTACACTACTCTTTATGTTAAAAATCATAATAAACTTTGCTTGAAGAGCAGTAAAATAAAACTGTTACTTTGACTGATTCCTCTAGTGAATTTGAGATTAAAATATGATGATATTGAATTGAAATAAACTTAGAAAAATGACAGCTTCCCAGCCCTCTTAAGTTAGCCATGATTGCAATGAATATAATCTTGCAGCCAATTTTTTTTTGCTGTATCCCAAGAGATAATCTAGGAAATTGGAATATTTGAAAGCAATCTGTTACACTCACATCTGTCTACCTACAGCCAATTGAATACAATTTTTCTTGCTGATTTACTATATTTTACTAAGACTGCACTTAGCACCAGATTATGTCAGATATTCAGAAAAACTTCCTAACAAAATTCTAAAATTATTGATAGTCATGCCACACATAGACACAGCCTAAAAGCTGTTGTACTAGTCTACGAGGACTGCCATAACAGTTATGAGAATTACCACATATGGGTAACAAAGTTACCACAGACGGGGTAACTTAAATGATAGGAGTTTATTTTCTTCCTGTTTCAGAAAGTGCAAGACAAGATCAAGGTGCCATTAAGTTTGGTTTCTGGTGAGGCCTTTCTTCCTGGCTTGCTGATGTCCACCGTCTTGCTGTGTGCTCACATGGCCTCTTCTCTGTGTGCATGCAGAGTGAGAGATATCTGGTGTCTCTTCCTCAGTCGTATCGAATTTGGACTTCCTCTTCTTATAAAGACACCAGCCCTATCAAATTAGGACCCCAGCTTTATGATTCCATTTAACCTTAATTACTTTCCTAAAGGCCCTATTTGCAAGTCACATTGGGGGTTGGGGCTTCAAAGTATGAATTTGGGTTGGGGGGATCTATTCAGTTTATAACACCTGTTAAGCATATACATTTGATGTTACTTCATCACATCTTTTCACAAACTTTTAAAGTGGAATCTACCTAGAGGAAGCTGGCATATGCATATGTGTTATGAATACAGTAAATCATGATTGAATGACAGAGGTACATTCAAACTAGCCACCACCCTTACATTTCTTACTATTTTGCTGCACTTATCCAGAGCAAAATTTAACTAACATAAAAGAATAAACATCTTTTTTCTCTGAAAACTGTTGAACCAAATGTACAATGGGTGACAATGGCAGTGAACAGGTTTTGTGTTTTTTTAAAAAATAGGAGAATACACATTTTTCTCAAGTACACTTAGAACACTCTCCAGAATTGACCATATGACAGCCATAAAACAAGTCAATAATGTTAAATGGCTAAAATTATACAAAGTATCCTTTTCAATCACAATTGAATGAAACTAGAAATCAAGGATAGAAGGAAAATCCAAAATATGTGGAAATTTCTTAAACAACCAATAGGTCAAGGAAGAAGTTGCAAGGGAAAATATAAAATATCTTGAAACAAATAAAAATAAAACAATTTACCAAAACTTGTAGGATGCATTGAAAGCAGGAAAATTTATAGCTATAAACAATTACATTAAAAAGAAAAATAATCTCAAATCAACAACCTAGCTTTACATCATAAAGAATTAGAGAAAGAACAAACTAAACCCAAAGTGAACAGAAGGAAAGAAATAATAAAGACTAGAGCAGAAGTAAGTAAAATAGAGAATAGAAAAACAATAGAGACTATCCATGAGCTTAAGAATTGTTTCTTTAAAAAGATCAACAAAATTGACAAGAATTTCACTAAATTTATGAAGAAAAAAAAGACTAATATTTAATTAATATCATAAATGAAAGATGAGAAATATCAAGAATGAAAGAGATAGGAAGGATCCAAATAGCACTATAATTGTAAAGAGATTGAATCAGTAATAATAATAATAATTAAAAAAAAAAAAACAACCCTTGACCAGGCGCTGTGGTTCACACCTGTAATCCCAGCACTTTGGGAGGCCAAGGTGGGCAGATCACGAGGTCAGGAGTTCAAGACCAGCCTGGCCACCATGGTGAAACCCCGTCTCTACTAAAAATACACACACACACACACACACACACACACACACACACACAAATTAGCCGAGCGTGGTCGTGCGTGCCTGTAATCCCAGCTACTCCGGAGGCTAAGGCAGTAGAATTGCTTAAACCTGGAAGGTGGAGGTTGCAGTGAGCCAAGATCGTGCCACTGCACTCCAGCCTGGGCAACAGAGCAAGAATCCATTGGGAGGGGAAGGGGAACAAAAAATAAAAAACTCTTAACAAAGAAAAGCTCAGGACCAGATGTGTTTACTGGTGAATTCTACAAAACATTTAAAGAAAAGTTAACATCAATCCCCTTCAAATTCTTCCAAAAAATTATAGAAAAGGAAATACTTACCAACTCATTCTGTAAGGTCAGTGTGATCCTGATACCAAAGTCAGAAAAAGACACTGCAAGGAAAGAAAACTACAGACCAATACTGCTGATGAATATTGATGAAAAGTTCTCAACAAACATTAGCAAACCAAATTCAGCCACATATTTAAGGGATTATATACCATGACCCAGTGAGATTTATTTCTGGAATACAAGGATGTTTCAGTGTATTAAAATCAAACAATATAATACACTACATTAACAGAATGAAGGAAAAAAATTATCATCTCAATGTACAAAAAACACTTTCAAAATTCAACATCCCCTTTTATGATAAAAAATAAGCAACAACCTAGAATAGAAGGAAATTATCTCAACATAATAAAAACTACATATAAAAAACCCACAGCTAACATAATATGAAAGTCTGTAAGCTTTACCTCTAAGATCAGGAACAGGAATAGGGTGTCTGCTATCATTCCTTCTATTTAACATTGTAATGGAATGGATTTGAAAGAAAGACATTAAGTTGTCTTATATGCATTATCGCCTGATTTTGTAAATACAAAACCCTAAAGATTCTACAAAAACATTCTTAGAACTAAAAATGTGTTAAATCATTTTCTCCATTTGCATGAAGGTCTCATGGCAATCATAACAATTATTTAAGTGCCTCAAGTTGTGAAAGTTCTACAAAATTCTTAGAACTAAAAATCAGTGTAATACATTACAAGTAAAGTTGGAGGACATAAAATTAACATAATTAGTTATATTTCTATACATTAAAAATGAGCACAAAAATATTTGAGAAAGCAATACCATTTAAAATATCCTCAAACAGATTAAAATACTGAGGAATAAATTTAACTGAGGAGGTGAACGACTTGTAGACTATAAACTACAAAATATTGCTGAAAGAAATTAGACACCAATAAATGGAAAGATATACTGTGTTTATGAACTGAGTGACTTAGTGTTATTAAGAAGTCAATACCCCCCAAAGCTGTCTACATATTCAGTGCAACCCCTATCAATCCCAATAATACTTTTTGCAAAACTAGAAAAATACATCCTAAGAATGATATGGAATCTCAAGGGACCTTGAATAGCTAATACAGTCTTAAAAAAGAACGAAGTGGGAGGCCTAGCACTTTCTGATTTCATAACTTACTACAAAGCTATAGTGATCAGAACAGTGTGGATGCTGGTATGAATACAGGTATATAGACCGATGGAATAGAATAGAAATCCCAGTAATAAACTGTCATGTATATGGTTAAATGATTTTCGCCAAGAGTACCAAGACTTTTGAATAGGGAAAAGACAGTCTATTTAACAAGTGGTCTTAGAAATCTGGATATGCACATGCAAAATAATGAAGTGAGACACTTACCTTATGCCATATACAAAAATTAATTCAAAATGAATCAACGACCTTAACCATAAGGGGTAATATATAAAAATGTTAGAAGAAAACATAGGGGAAAAGCTTCATTACATTAGATTTGATAATGATATCTTGGATATGGAATCAAAAGCACAGGTAACAAAAATAATACATTAAAATTAAACAAACACTTTTGTGCATCAAAGGACACTGTCGACAGAGTGAAAAAGCAACCCACAGAATTAGAGAAAGTATTTGCAAACCATATATCTCATAAGGAGTTGATATCCAGAATAGCTAAAGTATTCCTACAACAACAACAAAACTAAACACTCAGATTAAGAAATGGACAAAGGACTTGAATAAGTTCTCCAAAGATAATATATAAATTGCTAATAAGCATATTAAGAGATATTCAATATCACTAATTATTAGAAAAATACAAATTAAAACCACAACAAGAAACCACTTCTCACCGATTCGAAAGGCTATTACTAAAAAAAGAAAAGGAAATACCAAGTGTTGGTGAAGATGTGGAGATAATGGAAGCCTTGTGCATTGTTGGTTGGAATGTAAAATAGTGCAGCTGTTGTGAAACTGAGATAATGAATAGTTCTTCAAATAATTAAACAGAACTGACATATGATCCAACACATCCACTTCTGGGTATAAATGCTACAGAATTGAAAGCAGCATCTTGAACAGATATTTGTGTACCCATATTTATAGCAACATTTTCATAACAGCAAAGAGATGGAAGAAATATTTGTGTCTATTGATGGATAAACAGATAAGCAAAGTGTGGTATATACATATACAATAGAATATCACTCAGCTTTAAAAAATGAGGGAAATTCTGCAATATGCTACAACATGAATGAACCCTGAAATCATTATGCTAAGTGAATTAAACCATTCACAAAAGGACGAATACTGGATGATTCCACGTTGTCCACCTAAAGAGGTGCCTAGATTAGTCAGATTCATAGAAATAGAAAGTAAGATGGTGGTTGCCAGGGGCTGGAGGGAAGGGAAGAGTGAGGAAATTATTATTTAATGGCTTTGGGGGTTTTGTTTGGAAAGATAAAAATTCTGGAGATGGATGGTGATGACAGTTTCACAACAATGTGCGTGTACTTAATGCTACTGAAGTGCACACTTAAAATGGGTTAAAATTGTAAATTTTATGTTATATTTTTTCACAATGAAAGAAAGAAATTTACAGCAAAACAAACTCAGACCTGTAACTTCTACCATGTCTAAAATTAAATGGGATTTTCCCTCCACTAAGGAAACAAAGGAAATCACTTTCTAATGGTGCATCTCTCACTGCCGGAGGCATTTCCCCCAAGCCAGTGATAGCAGGGACAAAATACAACTACCTGTATAGCAGCAATTTTCTATTTAATACTGATCTAGATTTGCTGTATGCTGCTTTTCAAACATCTCTTCCTTGTTGGTGTAGAATGACACTTTTACAATTGTATTATTAATTTTTTAAGGAAAAGAAAAGTTTGGTTCAATTTCCAGACACTCTAGTTTCTATTTCCTTCAGTTTAACCATCATTCTTGTTTTCTTCCTCGGGTTTTTTTGCTCTGTTTTTCACCACCTGCTTCACTCTGTTGCTGTTTTTGTTATGCCTTTGTTTCCTATGTACTACTCTCTTCAACTTTCCTTTGTTACCTGATTCTAAACAATTTTCCCCACCGTGTCCGGTATTCTCTCATGTTTTGCTTTTCTGTTCTGGTTGAAATGCAGACCAGTAAAGAGATCAGGCTGAAAATTTATGTTTAATTAAATTTGGGAATAGAACTTTTAATTTTGTCAACATCACCGCATTCTAAAATCTTTTACTTTCGGAAACATGTGCCCCTACTTAGTCTTCTTTGTGTTAACATCATGTTTTTTCTAAATGGTAATTTACTTATTTATTTATTGTATTTTATTTTATTTTTGAGATGGAGTTTTGCTCTGTTGCCCAGGCTCGACTCATTGCAACCTCAGCCTCCCAGGTTCAATTGATTCTCCTGCCTTATCCTCCTGAGTAGCTGGGATTACAGGTGCCCCCCACCACACTGGGCTAATTTTTATATTTTTAGTAGAGATGGGGTTTCACCATGTTAGCCAGTCTGGTCTCGAACTCCTGACCTCAAGTGATCTGCAAGCCTTGACCTCCCAAAGTGCTGGGATTACAGGCTTGAGCCACCCCACTGGCCTCTAAATGGTAATTTTAAAATATTTATTCCATTCATTCTCAGGTATGAGTGAAAAGCAAAAATGATGAGGATAAGTGTTATCTCCTCAAGAGCATATGAACTCTCTTCCAGTAAAACACTTCTACAAAATTTTGAGAAATAGTTAAAAATGTAGATTTCGTTTTCGTAAATGTAGCGCATTGTAGATTTTATTTGTAAGTCCTAGTTCACCTGAAACTCTGAGTAAAATAACCTGAGCAGTTTGATATATAATAAGAAATTAGATCAATGAGTTAGTCAAATAATGAATTTCTCAGCCTTTGAGTTTTCCGAGTAACCCAAATGATTTTATGTACAGTGACTTTGACCTCAACTAAATTTCCAGTTTATCTAATTTCTATTAGATGAGAAACGGATGGAGAATAACTTTAATATATAAAACATTTAAGAACAATAGAAATGTAAAATGAGGATGATACCAATCGTTCGATGATTTATAAAGTAGGAAATAATGCATAAAACTCACCTCATACATAAAAGACACTCAGTTATGGTAGACTGTTTTCTGCTTTCAAGTCAGTTTTATTTTTCACCTTGAATCCATTTTGAGATACAGTCAGCCTTATAAAACTGGAAGTGTTCTGCACTAGTTAATTGTCAGTGTTAGATTCTAAGTGGTAAATATTTGCTTTTAATATTTCTTCTCTTTTTTATGATAACTTTGTAATCTTAGTTGATGTGCCATCACCACAGGTAATTATTATTTGTATATTTAGTTCTTCAAATAAAAGAGAGAAAAAAGCCCACCAAAACCCAAGTAGTCAAATATATCAGATTGATATTGTTCAGTTAAAATGAAAAGCCACCACATTTGGCAATTGAAAGTTAATTCTCAAAGAATGAAATATAATTAAATGTTTGCATTTTTTTTTTCCACAGTAGCTCACAGGAATTATCTTCCCTCACTACTAGTGCTTACTTCATGTACTCCAGAAAGTAAGCAATTACAGTGTGTGTGCTACAAATTTGTCCGTAATATTCAGTTTTATAATTTTAACATGGGACATTCTATGATTTTATATTAAATGGAAATAAAAAGATACTGTCCTTTTTCCTCTTTGTTTATTACAATACAGATAAAATGGAATATATGATAAGGAAGCAGTAGGATATTAAGTTTTTTTAATAGAAGAGGATAGTTTCTCTGACTTTTTAGCAAAGAAAAGAAACATTAGTTACTATTTTTGAGAGAATAGGGTAAGAAAAAGATGATCTTTTGAAAATTAAGTATATGTATTCTGTAGAGTAAATAAGCATTGTTAGGTACACTGTTGGTTTAAAATTATTTAGCATAACCAAATTTGGCATCATTGCAGTGCCAAAGAATGCCCTGGCCAGACGTGTCTATGCATTGACTTTTTCCATTGGTGGTAATGAAACTGTTCCATGATAAATTAATTTTTCCATTTTATTTTTCTTTCACAAAACATAGTTGATTACCTTTTAAAAATGATACAGTGGAATAATTATAGCCTTTAGATAACTTGTAGGGCAAAATAGGAAATTTGAGAGACATTTAATATCACTGTAAAATAAGTTCAAGGAGGGATTTAGTATGTAGTATGAAAAAAATTTATTAGCATATGTGTTCCTTATTTAATTAAATAGATTTATTTCGGTGCCACATTCTTTCAAATTTATCAAAATGTAATAATACGATTTTTATATTAACTTACATGTTAAAGTAAGAGATTGGTTCCCGTGGGAAAAAGGTTTTGACTAATGTACTACTCAGATTAATAATATCACTGACATAAATACTCCATTATTTTCATAAATATTACTACACAAGAACACATGCAAAAAGGACAAGTACCTATCTAAAATAGTTTTCCAATTGTAGAAATGGCAAGCATTTACTAAAACCTTAGAAATTTGAATGTGTTTTTATTTTTACCAGCCAATAATCATTTTTACAGTTTTAAATTTATATTCAAGTGAATGCTGTTTGAAAAGTGTCATTTTCCACTGTTTCAACTTACTATTTTATTTTAGATCATTTTCCCTACTAACACGAGTTCTTTTTTTAAACTATGTACCCTGAATGAGAAGAATTAACCAGGATACACGGAAGGCCTAAAATAACTAACTCCTGTTCAGGAATAGAGGCTTACCCAGTGTGTTTTGGGGTCATGTAGACACTTAGTCTAGTACCTGAAACTATTAATAATAATTTAGTTGCTTGATTTCCCTGATGCTCTTATTTCCTATAAAATAGTCTCTTCATTAATGGCTAGATTATTATGTATTAACAATTGCCCATGTTTTCCTTGTAACAGGAGCTTTTTCATTAGTCCTAATTTGAGAAGAGCAAAGCAGTCTCAGTGACAATAGTAAAAAGCAGGGATAAAGATGACATTTCTTCAGTCTGTAATTCCACAAAATGTGTACATTTTTTTTTTCTGTAAGAAAGAAGGCAGCTAACTTTTATTGAGTCCCCACTATGTGACAGGGACATTGCAATGTACTATACCTGAAGGTAGGTATTTTTGACTTTGTCTGCAGATGATAACACAGAGCCTTAGAGAAAATAGGTAACTTGGCAAAAGTCACACAGTTAGTCAATGACTGATAGAGAAGACAAACCTACATCTGGCCAAATACCTATACTCTTTCCATCATTACACACTTCCTTCACATTAAAGAAAAGATACAACTTGTTTCTTGTGGTCCTTACATTTGAATATCTTCTATGTAATTTTTTCTTGAACAAATTATAACTGTAAAATTTTCATGTAAATTGTACTGACACACGCCCAGTAGTGTTTGTTGTGCAGGTTTATTAAGTACAGTCATGTGTCATTTAATGATGGAGATACTTTCTGAGCAACGCATTGTTAGGTGATTTCCTTGTTATGAGAACATCATAGAATGTCCTTACACAAATCTAGAAGGTATAGCTTACTACACACCTAAGCTGTATTATATAGCCTAATGTTCTTTGGTTACAAATCTGTACAGCACATTAATGTATATATTTGTAACCTGTAGACACATATAATATGATGGTAAGTATTTATATATCTAAGCCTAGAAAAAGTACAGTAAAAATACGGTATAAAAAAGAAGAAATGGTACACTCATATAGGGCAGTTACCATGAATGAGCTTGCAGGCCTGGAAGTTGCTCTGGGTGAGTGAGTGATGAATGAATGTGAAGGCCTAGGACACTACTGTACACTACTGTAGACTTTATCAACACTGTACACTTAGGATACACTAAATTGAAGGAAGTCTATTTTTCTTTCTTCAATAGTAAATGAACCTTAGCCTATTATACAGGGCCCAAAAATATTTTATTTGTTTTTATTCTCATTCTATAGACTTTTTCTGTTTTTAACATTTTGATTTTTTAAACTCTTCTGTTAAAAAATAAAACACCAACACATATGTTCAGCTAGGCCTACACCTGGTCAGGATCATCAGTATCACATCTTGTCTCACTGGAAGATCTTCAGAGGCAATAGTATGCATGAAGCTGTCATCTCTTATGATAACAATGCCATCTTCTGAAACACCTCCTGAAGGACATGCCTGAGACTCTTCTACAACTAATTTCTTTTCCAAAGTTGGAGTACACTCTAAAATAATGATAAAAATTGTAATATAGTAAATACATAAACTAGTAACATAATTGTTAATTATTATTATCAAGTCTTATGTACTGTACATAATTGTATATGCTATGCTTTTATATGACTGGCAGTGCAATAGGTTTGTAGACACCAGCATCACCACAAACACGAGTAATACATTGCACTACAACATTATGATGGCTACGAAGTCACTAGGCAGTAAGAATTTTTCAGCTCCATTATAATCTTATGGAACCACAGTCATATATGTAATCTGTCGCTGACCAAAACATTGAGCGGCACAGGGCTGCATATCAACATAGAGCACTGGATTGTTTTTTGCAAGTTTTGTGGGATATCTAAAACATCGATATACAGGATCAAGGTTAATAACATAAATAGGTCAGTAAGATTGTTTTCTAGTCTGTGAAGATTTAAAAGTGCAATGTTTGAAGACCAGATGAAGTTAATATTACTATGCAAGCCTCTACAGGTTTGGATTTCAATATGTTTAAATTTGAACGCTTAACAATATGTTATGATTTGGGTTTCCATTTCATTTATTTCCCTTTCAAGTTCTAGCATGAATTTTGAGAATCTTCATCAATGTCCCTGTGAAGTAAATGCCACAAGAAAAGTGCAATCAATATGTGCACCTCCCAGAGAGCCCTAAACAAGTTGAAACACTAAACAACTTTCAAATCTTTAAACTTTTATAGATGCTCATAGATGCACTGTAATATTAGCCACATACTCTATGTCTTATTAAGATATTCTGTAACATGTGCTATTTACTCCTGCCAGATCTATATAGCATAAAGTGCACTGGAGGATTGGCATCTATCCATTAAATTTTAATCAACACAGAGACAGTTTGGATATTTAAAACCTTCTTTTATTTACAGCTGGTTTTTAAAATTATTGTTGTTTCTTTTGTTTGCTAGCTAGATTGCTTGCTTGCTTATTTATTGACTGGAGCCATGTGAATAATTTTGGAAGTCCCATCTCACTTCTCTGGCCTCAGAAAAGTGACCTTAAACCACAACATCCTTGATAGAAATGATAGAAATGATCAAATTATTTAAATTTTTTATGTTTTGGAGACAGAATCTCACTCCTTCACCCAAGCTGGAGTGCAGTGATCCGATCACAGCTTACCATAGCCTTGATCTCCTGTGCTCAAACGATCCTCAACATCATCCTCTTGAATAGCTGAGACTACAGGTGTATGCCATGATGCTGGGCTGATTTCTGTATTTTATGTAGAGATGGGGTCCCACCATGTTGCCCAGGCTGGTCCTGAACTCTTGGGCTCAAGGGATCTGCCCTCCTTGGCCTCCCAAAGTACTGGGATTATAGGGGTGAGCCACCACCCCTGGCCTGAATTATTTAATCTTAGAGCATTGTTCTTCACTTATTGCGGCTGTATGTTTTTAACTGAAACCATATGAAGAGTTGGGAAATTACTCAATTAATACAAGTATAATGACCAAAACAAGAATATATTTCATTTTTATATTTTTATTCAGATGGACTTGGCAAATGAATTCAACATGAATATTACTTACATTAATAGAAAAAATTATCAGTGCTCTTCTGAAGTCAAGGCAAGTATTCAACCCCATATGCTTTAACCATCACATTTTCTGAACAATCTTTGTGCTGGCAATTGTGCTAGATGTACAATTGTGCTAGAAGCAGGTCATGGTGGCTTGCTTTAGGTGAACTCACAGTTTAGTGTAGGAGAAAGGCAAATAAATTATACATTATAAAACAATATATTTAATGTTTTCCCTAGAATTTGCCAAATGCTAGGCAAATAATATTGTAGAAATAACTGCCTGGGAAAACTGTGAAAGTATAAAATCGCATAAGATGCTGAGAAATGTAGTGATCTCTCTAAACAGACCAGTGAATGCTGCATTTGATTTATTAAACAGTTCGTCAAAACTTATTTTTCAAAAGGAGTTCCCCAATTAGCATCTTCTTTATATCCAAGATGATATAAAATATGATGTATTATTTATCTCTTCTTAAAATAATTGGACACTTTTTTCATAAGACATTATCTGTGATTATTTATCCAATAATTAGTTTAGAAATTTAATTAAACATTAGGAGTTTTTAGTGTCATTTTGAAAGACCCTATTATGAAATTATGAAAACAGTAAGGTCAGGAAATGTTTTCTGTTATTGACCTTATGTTATTTGTTTATTTAATTTAGAACTCTTTACAAATAACTTACTGGGGTCAAAACTGCTCTGACACTGGTATCAGAAAGACTTTTGAGAAAAGTGAATTTACTTTGTATTTCAAGTTCAAAGGGATTTAGATTTGGTAGATTTTGGAAACTTCTCGCCCTGCATCTGCTAAAAACCAAGCAACTTCCTTTCTGAATTTTTAATCTCATAATGCCCCTGTAGTCATTAAAGAACCAATGCATGATAGACATTTATTCACTGTGCCTTTCTACATTGAAAAGCTGAATTAAGGTCTCCAGAGCCAAAATGGAATTAAAATGTTTATGTCTTAAAGACAGCCAAACACGTACTTTCAGAAAAAATTGCAGTCAAGGGGGAAAAAAACAGAAAGTAATTTGTAAAACTGTTCGTTTTTAAACTTTGGAGTTAGAGAGTGGAAATATGATACAGACAAGAGTGAAGAAATGTTAACTAAAAAGAATGTGTTATAGCTTGTGAAACTGTCCCCTCCCACCCCCCATCCCTGCTAGGAGTAACATTTGCATTCAATTTGAATGAAGACATACTGATAGACCAAAATAGTTTGATTTGTCTTTAGAGAGTCCTTCTTCATCCTCTCTTAATCTATAATATGTGTTTCCACATTCCTTCTTCAAATTTCTTCATTATTCTACCAGTTTCTTTAAGGAGTCCCAAAACTGTAGGCTAGACAAATATGAACCTTTCTGTTTGTTAAAATAATGCTTCTTTGAATAATTATTTTTAATCTCTTTCTCTTTCTTTCTCTCTTTTTGTAATGCTGCTTCTCAATGCACATTGTATTTTAAAATCAGTACAGAGTCATAAACTTGACAACAATTGTTGATAATACTTTCCAGTGGTACGTAAAATATCTCAACTATTTCTCAGTTGGAATGATTGGGTACAAATGTGGGGAATAAATCTATAGAATATTTTGAACCAAGATTTAAAATTCATAGCAAATCTAAGCAGTTCTAACAGATTTTTTTCGCTCACTAATATTTAAGTGTAAAAAGCAATTTAGTGTAATAGACAAGCTCACAGATTTGGAGTTATACATACTTGAGGTTAGATCCTGGATATCACATTTATTAACTGTTTGAAATTCAGCAAGTCACATAACTTCTCTAAAACTCAATTTACCAAACTAGAAATGAGAAGAATAATAATTACCTTCTCAGATTACTGTTAGCATTCAGTATAATGTTAGACTTAAAAGACCTCAACATACAGTAATTTTTATTAAATGTTACTTATTGTTATTAGTAGTACTGATAGAAGTAGTAACAATAGTAGTAGTAATAGTAATGTAATATCTAAAAATGTAAGATTATCATTTACTTATTTTTGGTGTTTCTTAGCTTCTTTTATCTTTAATTGTGTAATATTCTAATGCCATATTAATTTGTTCCTAAAAAAAATTTAAGTCAAATCAAATTTGCACCACAATTACCGTGGAAAAAATACCTCTTTGAATAAGTTCATTCTATCAAAATACACTATCTGGATGAAAGTGTTTTCCTTATATTTTTATTGTCTACCTACATTTCAAAATTACTCTGTTTTTATCCTCTGATTTGGGATTTGCCACATTCCTGAGACTTCCGTGTTTTGTAGCTAAACTTGATTTTTGCCGTGCTTTTCTACAGTGTCAACCAGAAAAGTCTCGCCTGTACAATCCAGCAATCAAAACTCACTTGCAAACACAAAGACAAAAATAGAAATAGTCAGTAGGAAGCAGTTTTTCCCTCAAATTTTTTCTCTCTGTGATTGCACAGCAAAGCTCAGACTTTTTTTTTTAAATACAGATACTGGGTAGTTGAGATTTGTGATTAAAAAAAATACAGGCCACAATTGCATAAACCATTTGTTTCTCTTATGAGATATTTTTTACTCTTGCACTGGTGTGAGGTCAGTACTTGACATCATCTCCATGGATGTAGGACAGCACCATTATTATTTCAAAGCACCTTAGCCTGGGAATAGATTTGTTTCATGTCTGATTACATAAAATCTCAATAACTGTTTCACTATCTTTCTAATCATAGGAAAATTGGCTTTTCTAGAACAAAATTAAAAGAATACCATCCAAGGTAAAGGCAAACAATTCTGTAATTGTCACTTTTGTATCAATCTTACTGATCAATTAGTTAGAGGACTGGGAAGCTGTTAACATCCTTAAAAACCATAAAGGAAATCCATAGTCATTTAGCGATTTCACCGGCATTATAACATGAAAAAGTCTTATTTGTTTAAACTAACTATGACTGTCTTTATATAGCAACTTTTTCTCACAGAATAAAGTACGTATTGTTACTTTATTCAAAGAATGTAAATTCTCTCTAAAAATAGTCCAATTTTGCAAGCATTTTGCAAGCAGCCTCATTGCTATATGGGCACAACTGTAAAGTAAACCAAAAGATTTCATTCACTATCAAAATGTTTTGTGAAAATAATTAGATATCTTAGATAACCACCTGGATTTTCTTTCCTTTTGTTCATGTTTGGTGAACTTTAAGCAGGGATCCTGATTATCTTTATCTTGAGAGTGGGTAGTGGAATTCATCTTCCTCTATCAATTGGTCATTTATTATATATTTGTGTCCACAGTATATGTCTTGAGACTGTCTTGCAAAATTATTAATTTAATTTTTGATTTTTCAAGATAAACAAAGATCAATACAGGAATACTTTGAACTTAAGGTTTTAGACATTCAGTAAGAGAACAAAAGATAAAATTAAATAATTTGGATTGAATTTTAAGACCTGGTCTTCTACTTAATGGGAATGAGACCACGGCCGTAGAATTAAAAGTCTTATATGCCTTCATTGCTTCTTTTTTTGCTTTAATTTTTAGTAGAGACAGGGTCTCACTATGTTGTCCAGGCTGGTCTCAAACTCCTAGGCTTAAGTGATCCTCCGCTTTGGTCCCCCAGATTGCTGGGATTACAGGTGTGAGCCACTGCATCCAGCCTGCCTTCATTATCTTCTATGTGAAATGCAGATAAGCACACCTAACTCAGATAGGATTATCAGGAGAGTGAAATGAGATTTTATATATATAAAGTGCTTACATGTGGCCTGGCATATCATGAGTACTTGATAGAGAGAGCTGCTATTATTATCATCAATGATAAATTAAAATTTATAAATGTAAAATAATACTGATAAGTAGATCAAGATCTTTTCAGTTTGTTTGCTAGTGGACACAGAATTTTCTTTGACATATCACCATTCATTTTTAACGCTGCTAATCTTACACAGTTTCCTTTATCATTTTGCTGAGCATCATGGTATAATTCTAATCAATGTTCATGTATGTTCAGTAAGTTAATTAAAGCTTCCATGCCCAACCAAAATGCTACCACAGTTAATGGGTTTGGGGTTGATTACCAGAATCCTATATGATATGATATTCTTCTATATATTGAAACAAAGACAATAACATCTCATTCTACCTTGTCTCATACGCTCACATTTGTGTACAGTACACAAATGGAGCATGTGTCTGTGGCAATCGGCTAGTGAGAAAAATAAAATATATTAGCAATCATTATAGTAGACAAAAGTTCTAGCTCACATGCCTCTGAGTTTTTCATCTGTTAATAGAATCCTGCTGAAATGTATATTACCTGTCTCTGCTCCTGTTCTGGAATTTTAGTATAGAAAGGAAGTGGGCAGATCTAACAAATAGACAATGATCTCATGATCTCTCTCTCTCTCTCTCTTTCTCTCTCTCTCTCTCTGTCACACACACACACAAACACATACTTTTTTTCAACTAAATCAATAATATGAAGGATATATTATCCATAAATCACTAGGATTACTGTTACCACTAGCAAATAAATAGTGTCTAAATACAGTTCTAAAAAGTTATTATGATTCATTGCACATAATGAATTATAACAATATTTGAAGATACTGGAATGAAAGGACAAATTTTCCTTACAATCTTGTATACTCACATTAATTAAAGAACCCACACAATTTACAAATTTAGAAAAGGAGAGGAAGATTTATTTTTATAAGGGGTTACAGCCTGTAAGGGGTCCATCCTGCAGGCTGAGAAGCATGCCTCCCGCAAAGACCAGAGACAGGCACTTTAAAGAAGGGGGATTGGGGTAGGAGCTTTATGCTGAACAGATTGGCTAAACATACATATTCAACAGGTTACAGGAGGAGCTATGAATATTTATGAAGATCCTGACACATCTATTGAACAAACATGCATGTAACATATGACCCATGTTCACTTTGGGGCGAAGACCTTAACATTTTAATGTATTACAATTGGGACCTATACATGAAAGGGGCTTTTCTGGACATGAAGACATAGAAGCTTACAGCCTCTGTAAAGTTGCCAGAATCAGTCTATGGTTAGTGGGCTTCTTATCAGGAGAAAGTCCTGAAATCAGTTGTCTTGTACAATCAAAGCTATAGTTATGGCTTGTGGAACAGGAGGTCGGTTAGTCAGTATCTGTGAGCTGAACTGTAATTTTTTTTTTTTTTTTTTTTTTGAGACGGAGTCTCGCTCTGTCGCCCAGGCTGGAGTGCAGTGGCGCAATCTCGGCTCACTGCGAGCTCCGCCACCCTGGTTCACGCCATTCTCCTGCCTCAGCCTCCCGAGTAACTGGAACTACAGGCGCCCGCCACCATGCCCAGCTAATTTTTTTTTGTATTTTTAGTAGAGACGGGGTTTCACCATGTTAGCCAGGATGGTCTCAATCTCCTGACCTCGTGATCCACCCGCCTCGGCCTCCCAAAGTGCTGAGATTACAGGCGTGAGCCACCGCGCCCGGCCGTGTAATTGTTTTAATATTGCTTATCTCATGGCCAGTGCTTGTTTAGCTGCTAGAGAAAAATAAAAACCTTGTGGAAGGTTAAAACATAATTTATTCTTTAAGTTTAAGAGTCTTAACCCTTGCCTGCTAAGGCCTTAGATCCTATGAATAATTTGGTATCTTATTACCACAGAGTCTCTTCTGTCATCTTATGATCTCAATTTTAACATTAATGCTGGTCAGTTGCGTCTACACCCCAAAAGGAAGGAAGTATAATGAGGAGTGACTGACTTCCCATCTCATCATGCCTGAGGACTGTTTTTAAGTTTTTTTTCTGGGGTACCCTTGGCCAAGAGAAAGTCCATTCATTCAGTGGTAATGCTTAACATTTTATTTTTAGTTTATATTAATTTCTCAACCATTATGTTTTCTTGTTTCGATTTTTGACTATATTACATGCAGCTTTCACATAAGTGCACGTAGAGCATACAAAATATTTTCTATTTTTAAAGCTTTTCCAGCAGAAACGTATATACTTTGCTGGTATACAGCCTTTTAAATTATAATTAATGTCTGTCTAACTTTCTGCTGATATTCTCTAATGGCTAATTTACTCCGTAGTCTATTTTAGGAATTTGATCTTACATACTTAACACATGCACACATACACATGTTTACAAGAAACAAAGAGTACTAAATATTCAGTATTACCTTGAATATAACTAACTTGTTCTTAGATAATTACTATAACATTTCCCAGAATTATGTGCAATATTCTCCAAATGGACAGGTGACTGAATCAAATATGCATGAGAAAAAGCACAAATAACAACCAAAACAAAATTAACTGATATTGACTCAGTATTTACAATGTACTTTCCATTCCTTATTTTATACAATTCAAAATAATCAGAGAAAAAAGTTATTTTTATCATCAGTTTACAGATGATGAAATTGAAGCTGAAGGGTTGAGTGCAATGCAAGGAAAATAGGAAGAAGTGGGCTTAATCATGGGGACTCGGGTATAGTCTATGGCTTTATGAAGTCGTTATATCTTATTTACTGTAATTTGATCATGTTTCTCGTCATCTCAGTACAAACATATATGACATATTTTATAAACAGATAACTCTACAAATATTTCTTGACAAAGATGAGTAGTTACAAGAAGTGTTTCCAAGGTAACAATACTAATTCAATTGCTATCATAATACTATTATTAATAACGCTCTTATCAACACTCATAAAGTCTATTGCCAGGGGAATATTGTCATTCTAAGGACAAAAGTATGACAGAGACTGCGGAAAATAGCTTGAAAGCAAAGAATGACAGCAACACTGAAATGATGAAGGGGATACTTAATACTGTTTGATTTTAATAAATGCTTTAGCTCTTTTTAAGTGGTATTATGTCCTTTAGATCTGTCAAACAGGTCGTGTTTCCTCTCTCAGGATTCAGATTGTCTAGTCATTGGAACCACAGGGAAAGACCAATAACTTGAAATTGGTAGTACGTTTACAGCTACTTCCTTTAGTTGCTGAGTAATGACGCTATCCTTTCTAGGTTATCTGCTTGCTTAAGCAAGAAACTAACCAATTAACAAGCAAGTGCATTGTAATAAACAAATACTTTATAGAGATTTAATGGGAGAAAGCCTATTTCTTTCTGTTTAATGCCATCACTATGCTTATGTAAACAGAAAATATTAAAGCTGTTGTTTTAAAATGGAAATGAGCTCTTTCTTATATAGAATCAATTAAAAGTATGATATATTATAAAAACTAATCTGAAACACTGTCAGACTGTGATCTTTTTCTCTGCTGTTACACTACTTAGACAGGCTGATATTGATTGAAACTGTTGCAAGACAAGGAAGAGAGGTAACTATAGGAGTTGTCATTTACCTACCACTCTAAGATGAATAAAGAATCAGTAAACCCTCAGATCCATCTTGAATGCTGGCTTTCAGACCTGCCTCTTCACTGGTGACTTGGTGAGCCCATGTATAGGAGAGTGTTCTGCATTTATCTTGCAATCTACCCCATTTTCCTTGACTTTCAGATACTGGCTTTCTTTTTTTTTAATTTAATTTAATTTTATTATTATTATACTTTAAGTTTTAGGGTACATGTGCACAATGTGCAGGTTAGTTACATATTTATACATGTGCCATGATGGTGCGCTGCACCCACAGATACTGGCTTTCTACTATGATTACAACTATGTGCCTCTAGACAAGGGAAGTTATTAATCACTCCCCAAGACCACCTCCCTCTGATACCTTTGCAATCATCAGACTCACCAGCTTTTTAACAGTGTCGAATCCATTTCAGTTAAATATCTGGATTTCTCTCTGTTTCAACAATGGGAATGAAATGGGATTACTTTACACAGTTTCAATTTTTTTTCCAGGCTTTAATAACATACTTATTACCAATCCAGGAAAATTAATTCTGTTAAAAATACAATTCAATAAATCAGTGTTCCAGAGAGCAGTTTTAGGTCATGATCTAAGCCTATATAATATATTCTGTATTTCTTTATTAAAATCATCTTAAGAGCAATGATTATGTGGTTCTGCTTTAAGCTGGTGAGTTAAGGTGAGATTGGCATAGGGAGAGACTCTCTTGGCTTATAAATGGTGGAGGCATTACAAAAATCCTCTCATATCCTTTTTTATGATGAGTAGGAGTGTGCTATTTCTAGTACAGTTAGGATTTTGACAAGTTATGCTCAAGTAATTGATGTTTGCCCTACCCTGTTGGCTAGATTGCTCAGGTCATGCTTGAAGCCACCCCAGGAATCATGGTCTTCTGTGTAAACCTGACAACCTGTTGCTGGAAGGCAATAAGTTAATTTGATGGTGTCCAAAGTAGTTATAAATCAATGTGGCAATCTCTTTCTTCCACGTCAATAGAGGGAACAATCTGACTTCATAGATCAGATACATTTACCTTCATTTATAGCTTTAGAGTGTCACAGCAATCTGTAGAGTTATTGAGATAACTTGGTGACATTCTTCTAGTTTTCTTCAAATGCCTTTGGGTAACAAGAAGATAGACAATCCTAAATAATGTTTATATAAAATTTATTGCAGAGTTAAGCTCCTAATATAGAAAAGATAGCAATGTAGTACATGATAACACTATTTATCACCATCACTTTGAGTGCCATCATTAAGATACTGCAATTCTTCTCTTAAAAAACTTTTATTTTCAGGGGTACATGTGCAGTTTTGTTATACAGGTAAATTATGTGTCATGAGGGTTTGATGTACAGATTATTTTGTCACTCAGGTAATAAGCATGGTACCCGATAAGCAGTTTTTTTATTTTCATCCTTCTCCCACCAGCCACCCTTAAATGGGCCTCATTGTCTCTTGTCTCTTCTTTGTGTCTATATGTACTCAATGTTTAGCTTTCACTTGTAAATGAGAACATGAGATATTTGGTTTTCTGTTCCTGTGTTAATTCGTTTAGGATAATGGTCTCTAGTTTCATCCTTGTTGCTGCAAAGGACACGATCTCTTTCTTTTTATGGTTGCATGGTAGTCCATGCATTTTCTTATCCAGTCTGCCATTGATAGGCACCTAAGTTGACTCTATGTTTTTGCTATTGTGAATAGTGTTGCAGTGAACATACAACATACTGCAATTACTTGGAACAAAAAGATAACTCGTTGAGAAGGATAGAAACTGAACAATCGACATATTTGGAGATGGTCTTGTACACTCCTAAACTTGGCAACATTCTATGCCCAAGAATTCTAGAAGCAATGACTCTTACCCTTATTCACCCTATATTCTCTGATCTGAAATCATATAAATGAAAACAGGAAGGAAATGATAGAAACAGACAAAAACTCTTGCTTTTTTCCAGACATTATATATACATTTTAAAAAGAAGTATTATAACTTTAAGTGACAATCAAACATAATATTAAGATAGTCCCTCTACGTGAAATCATTCTAATATCAAGGGAAACAGCAATTTAACAAGTAAATTTTAGGAAATGCAGCGTTCCAATTTAGGTACCAAAACTTATTTTAAATGACATTTTCAGCCAAATGAGAGAAAAAGAAACTCACCATTTTTTTCTCATATTATTCTAATTTCATCCCTGTGCAGTATAGAAGCCAGATTGTCACTGTGCCCTGGGAAGCTTTGCAAATATGGCACATGCCACAGTCAGCATGACCCTGACTTATACTTTAATAACTCCTTGATTTAGCAGACAAAGCTTTTCTCTGCCTCCAATACACCCCTTAATCTAGCACTTGTCCCCATGCTGTCCCATGGTTGCTCAAAGCCATCTTATGTTAGTTTCATCCATTGTTCCATAATTTTCCTCAGCTCTACTTTCCTATAACAACTAACCTGCTCCTGTTATTTCTCTCTGTAGTCAAGTGTTTCTCAGAGAAATTAATGCCACAGTGCTAATAATTGTTGTTACCTGTCATTAGCACTATAACCTCTATAGCATGTTATCCCTTTCAGATATCAATTTGTTAAAATAATGAAAGAAACAAGTCCTCTGGTTATTTCTATGTAATGAATCACTCTAAAACTTAGTGGTTTAAAATAACAACAATTATTGTATTATGTCTCACAGTATCTGTGGGTCAAGAATTCAGAAGTAGCTTAGCAGGAAGTTCTGGCTTGTGGTTGCAGTCAAAACAGCAGGTGGCTGAAATGGTTGGAAACTGGCAAGGAAGCATTCTGTTCATGTAGATTTCTGGCCTCTCCATGTGGAGTAGTTTGGGCTTCCTTGCAGCATGGTAGACTCGGGGTAATCAGATTGCTTACAGGGACGCTGAAAGATCCAAGGATGAACATCCTAGAGAAGCAGGTGAAAGTGTGCAGCATTTTTATGACCTGGCATTGAAATTCAGAGGGTATCATTCTGCTATACTCTGTTAGTTTGGGCAGTCACGAAAGTCCACTGAGATTCAAGGGGAACATGGATATTCAAAGGGAACACAGATTCTATCTACCTTTTGATGGTGGAATGGCAAGGTTCTAGGAGATATGTTTCTAGTCATCTTTGGAAAATGCAATCTGCTAAAATGAGTAATGTGGGCATTTTGTGCCCTTTATTATGTTACTCTCTAGCATATTATTTTCAATTATTTTTAATAAACTATATATATATATATATATATAGAGAGAGAGAGAGAGAGAGAGAGAGAGAGAGAGAGAGAAAGAGACAGTGGAAAATAAAATGATAGAACAGTTGATGAAATGCCACTTAGGAATTTTTATTTTCTGTTCCTATTTCTCTCCCTAGGAAGACTACCTAAATGAATATAAACTTTTAGGTACTTTTGCCATATTTAGTGAAGATATTGTTACCCATATAAATATTTGAAGAGTTAGAATCTCTTTAAAAAAGAAAAATTCACAGAAATCATTAGAAATGCCAAAACTTCATCTCATAATTTGCAGATGTAATACAATAAATAATTATAAAACATTCCAATATGAAGTCTCTCATCAGTATTCTCAGGTATCTGTGTTAATAATCTGAAAAACTAGAGCATGTATATCTGATATATTGTCAGCTAATAATTGCATGCTTTCAAAGGCCATATCTTAAGGAACTCACTATAGCGTAAAAATAAAGAGATTAATATTAGACCTAAAAGTCTAACATAGTAGGGTCAAACAATGGACTTGAAAGCCCTGGAACATTTTGAATATTTGAATTACATAAATCGTTTTAAAAACAACTGTAATAAAAAACCTTGTGTTAATGAGTTTTAAGATTTTGCAGTGCTTCATAGCCAAGTCTTGAGATACAAGATTGAATGTGTATTTCTTAAAAATACAACTTTGTGTTGTACTTTGAAATAAATGATGCTTTAAAAAAAAAAAGCTTTTGCAGTGCTTGATTACTGCCAAAATCTCTTATTTTTCATGTGCACTTGGGCAGTCTAGTTGATTGCATACTGAGCTGTCCTCTAAAGCTTTAAGGGAATTTATTTTAAAAAGACTCATAAAAAAGGTTTATTCAGACTACCTGCAAGACCCCCATGTGCTTTTTGCTACTTGAGATAATAACATCTATTATGTGAGAAATAATAATTGTCACTCTGAAAAGAAACAATTGATTTCACTGTTTTACTTTGGGTCCTGGCAGCTTTTTATCCTGACTTTTTCAGAATTCAATTATTGAAGAGATCTCTAACTGTCCATACAGCATGCACCTGGGATTAGTACACCTGCTATTTCTATTCAACATGGATATATCAGCAAAAGCTATTTTGCTTTTTCTTGGGGAAGATTTTCCCCAACAGAAAGATGTTTTCTTTTGAGCAACTAAGGTATTGACAATTAAGATGCAAAAAAAGATTATGCCTGTAAATATTTCTTTCTCAGAAATACAACATATGATTTCTGA